>NC_000017.11:6097171-6248686 GCF_000001405.40 Homo sapiens
CTGCTGCCATTCGGCGTTATGGAAGGGGGAAGAGACGGAGAAGATGAGGAGGAAGAGAAGGGAAAGAAAGGGGTGGCCATTGTGGCCATGAGCCATTAGTGTTTCGGACTAGTTTTAAATAGGAACATGCTTACTTGGAGCATAATGAAGACGCCAAAGGGCATAGCAGGGAAGCCTTCCTCTCACTCCATGCATTTCCTTGCCTGGATTGTCCTGGCTTCTCATGTCTACTTCCAGAGAGACTGAATATTCAAGCAACTGCATCCTTGCCCATTCTCTAACAAGCCCCGCAGCCGGGCAGGAGCTGCACCCGCCCTTCTGCACTGAACTCTTCACCGGACAGCCTGTCTCGGAGATTGTCTCACGTCGCGACACAAAGTGCTTTCTCATTCTTTTTTACCATTGCACGGAGGTCCTATAATTTATTTAACCAGTTTAGCATTTCGCCTATTTCCAGCCTTCACAAACGATGCGGCAGTGACTACCTGTGTATGTACGTAGATCACTTTGTGTGAGTGAATCTGTAAGAAAAATATTCCTTGGAGATGCTGGGTCAAAGACTGAGTGTCTTTATCATTTTGGTAAACTTTGTCAGGTTGTCCTTGGCGAGGATTGTATTCATTTTATACCCCGATCAGTGATGTGTGAGGGGGAGGCAAGGCACCCTCGTAACCCTTATTTTGTGTGTGTTGGGGGGCTCAAAGCAGCATTTTAGGCAGATGCCTCAGTTTTCTGGGGGTCCTCCCTTTGTGTACCTCATTAGGGCCCAGAGAGTTCTTTCTTTTTTTTTTTTTTTTGAGACAGTGTTCCGCTCTGATGCCCAGGTTGGAGTGCAGTGGTGTGATCATAGCTCACTGTAGCCTCTGGCTCCTGGGCTCAAGTGATCCTCCCACCTTGGCCTCCTGAGTAGCTGTGACTACAGGCACACACTACCATGCCCAGCTAATTTTTTTGTGTATTTTTTGCAGAGACAGGGGGGCGGGGTGGGGGGGGTCTCACCAAGTTGCCCAGACTGGTCTTGAACTCCTGGGCTCAAGCAATCTGCCCTCCTTGGCCTCCCAAAGTGCTGGGATTACAAGCATGAGCCACTGTGCCCGGCTGGTCCAGAGAGTTTGTATTTGTGATTACAGACAAGAATTTAAAGGCTTATAACTCTTCAACTTGTATTTTCAGCCTTCCTTCATATTTACTGGCATAAATCCAGATTGCTGCAGTTTCACACTGGAGCATGTGCCAGAAGATACACGCAGGCTCTTGGTGTCTTGTGCTATCACACATTAGCACCTTGTCCATCTCCCCTCACAACGCATTTCAAGGACAAGTTCCCTTCTCTGCTATGGCCGGAGCAGTCGTGAATTGTTTGGGTCAGAACTACATGGAAAGGGCATCCAGGTTTCTCAGAAACAGCCTCTGTCCTCAGCACTCACAACACTGGAGCCAGTGCTGACACCTGATCCTTATCCGGGCTGCCTCTGCGTGGTCAGATGGGACTGGGAGGGTGGTGTTTCCTGAGTTCCATTGTTTAGGGCTGCAACATTTGCAGCTGTGAGGAACAGAGTCATCATTTCCAGCTTTAAAGTTTAAAGTGGGTATTGGCAGCGCATATTTAGTGGGACTTGGCAAAACGCAAATGCTGAGACGGTGGGCACAGCCAGGGGCAGGTGACTCTCACTGGTGGCAGAGTAAGGGCAGTGCCTGAAGAAGGTGAAGAAGGCTTGGAAGGAGGCTGAGAAAGGAAGATGGTTGCAACTTTTGGGAAGGGTTGGAACTGGAGGATGTGGGGCAGTGTTGGCAGGTGGCTGAGGGGATTAAGGAGTGTGTTCCAAGAAGAGGCAACTGCTGAGCAGGAACCAGGTGGCAGGAAAGCAGCCCAGGTGGCCCAGCGTGCAGGGTTACTTGGGGGGCTGTGAAAGGTCAGGGGGTACAAATTGCAGAGGGCTTTGTGATACAAGAGTTATTAAGAAGTTATTTTAGGCAGAAAGTAAGGTTCTGGGTGGAAATTTTCCTGTAATAAGAAACAACCCCCAAACCATCTCTTTTCTAACAGAAAAGGCGGCTTAAAGGGCCAGGCACGGTGGCTCATGCCTGTAATCCCTGCACTTTGGGAGGCTGAGGTGGGCGGATCATGAGTTCAAGAGATTGTGACCATCCTGGCCAACATGGTGAAACACTGTCTCTACTAAAAATACAAAAATTAGCCAGGTGTGGTGGCGCCTGCCTGTAGGCCTAGCTACTCAGGAGACTGAGGGAGGAGAATCGCTTGAACCCAGGAGGCAGAGGTTGCAGTGAGCCGAGATCACACCACCGCGCTCCAGCCTGGGCGACAGAGCAAGACTCTGTCTCAAAAACAAAAAAAAAAAGAGAGCAACTGGGTTCACTCAATATGGTGATTCCCACTGTCTTTTCCTTGTTACCAGGTGTACCGAGTGTCATGGCCACCTCCAGATAACACCATGTGTTCAGAACATCATGATGACCTGCATTTGCATATTAAAGGACTAAGGTGGGAGGGCCAGGTTTTTCAAGGGCTACGTAAATGACACACCTGGTCAAACCAATCCCCTGGGCCTTATGGAACGCAGACACCGCTTCCTCCAGCATCCCAATATAAGCAGCCACTTTTCCGCTGCACACGGGGTTTTCTCTTTGTTCAAATCCCCCCTCCCTCTGTCTCTGTACGGGGAGCTGTTTTCTTCTTCCTTCCTTCTTTCTTGCCTGTTAAACTTTTCACTCCTTAAAATCACCCCACATGTGTCCATGTCTAAACCGGCACGAGACCAAGAACCCTGGTGTCCCTCCAGTCATCAGAGCCATATAGCTTGAATGCCTGCCTCAAGGTTGAGACTTTTTTCAGTGGGTGGGAGGGGCTGGTATGGCTTGTGTGGCACTTTATAGCTGCAGGTAGGATGTTCTGGAGCACGGAGAGGATGAGAGCTAATAAAGAAGGGAGTAGGTCTAAGAGACACCACAGGGTTGGAATCCACAAGAGAGGATGTGGGGGCATGAAAGAAGGAGTGGGAACCCCCAGGGAGGAGGATGAGGCATGGATGGGTTTGTGGGTGAGCGGGGCAGCTGACCTGTCCAATGTGGGAGGGAAGTTCTCCTTGGATCCTTCTGGGATACAGCATTTCTCAGGGGTACCCTCAGAGATGCCTTGGCAAAGCTGCCACAGAAGTCGACCTGTGACCTGGTTCTGGAGTTAGGGATTTCAGGTAGGGCAAGAACAGTGCCCTGGATGTCATGCCTTTAAGTCAAACCGCCATCTGCCCAACGGAGCGAGCCTTTGGCTCCCAGATTGTCCATCCATTCTCGCTTGTCTCGCCCGTGGATGTGGGTGTAACTTGAACTCAAACCGTCTGTACTGTTAGCCCCTCAGCTCTGAGCTCTGCAGATGCCTGGCAGGGGTTTTGCTGGAATTCTGACTTCACTCTAGAGCAGGGGTTCACAGCCTTGGATCTGTTGGCATTTGGGGTTGGATATTACTCATGTTGGGATCTGTCTGTGCATTGTAGGATATCTAGCAGCATCCCTAGCCTCTACCCACTAGATGCCAACAGCCCATATTCCCTCAGTTGTGACACACAGTCCCCACACATTGCCGTATGTCCTCTGGAGGGTAAAATCACCCCTGGTTGAGAACCACAGCCCTGGAGAGCCACCTGAAGATGCCAGGCAGCCATGCCCAGTCATGGCCCATATCCCCGTGGGGCTGAATCCTGGGGAGCAATGGTCTCTTCCAACCATTGTGAGGATGGAGAAGCAAATTCTCCCTCTAGTATTGAGGTCTGATGGATGTGAAATTGTTTGGAAGTTGATCTGACCCAGACCTGCAGAGGCCAGAGAACTCTTTGCAGGGAATGGTATCCTCTCTTCCCTCCTGAATGTTGAGGGTGGCGAGAGAGGTGAATCTGGGGATGTCTGGCCGTATTTGCCTGCTCTGAAGTGCCAAGCACGTCCTCTCTGGAAAGGCCAGTGGTGTGGAGGCTGCCTGGCAGTCCCGGTGGCAGCTTTATCTCATCCTAATTTGGCCGAAAAACAAGCTCAAATGTCCTATGATGTGGGAATGGTTAAATTATGCCACGGCCATACAGTGGACTATAATACAACCATTGAAAATGTTTTCAAAGACTTTGATGATGGAAAATGCTCACAGTAGAATGTTAAATGGGGCAGAGCTGAGCCTGGGGGTAGGAAGCTAGGGGCTTAATTAGAGCTGGCCGGGCAGTGGGGCTGGGAGCAGCAGATGTGAGAGGTGGGGCTTGGAAACAGGAAAAGAGGAGGGGGTTCCTTGTAGTGCCCCCACCTTTGAGCACCATCTGAGGCTTATTTGTGGCCCCAGATAAAATGTCTACTGTTTTTGCTAGTTCGCGAAAATGGATTTGGGGAGATCCAAGAGTGTAGTTTGACAGAAAAAGAACATTCCAGGTGATATCTGCATCTTAATGATCTGACTCTCTGCCAGCAAGAGGGAATTGACCAATGTAATGTGTTTTTAAAGCCCAGTGAAATGATCTTGTCTAATTTCCTGTGATCGTATGGAGATGGAAAGAGACCTGCTCATTCTCAGTCCCCTTCAGGATCCTATCGGCTCCTTTGTTTCAACGCAAGGCAAGAGTGAGCAGGGGGCAGCTTCGATATTTGCATTGCTACCAATTCAGATCTGGGGTAATTAGTTTTGTCGCCTGATATTTGTGCTCAAGTAGATAGGCCATTTGTGGGGGTGCTCCGAAAGGAGGCTGATGAGCGAAATCTAACACCATCTGCAAATAGGTTACTAATGTGAGACACTCCACCGGCGATTATACCTTGTGATGTGAGGTTTGTTCTCCCAGCTGCTGTTAGTGATTCTACTGATAAAGGAATCGCAGGGAGAGGAGGAAGAAAGGTGTTGAGCTTTCTTTTTCCCCTCTTTTAGCCTCTTTTGGGCGTCTAAATTCTTTACGCATTAATCACCTGGATGTTTTCCCATTGACATTTCTTCTAAGTTTTTTTGCTTGTTTGGCCATTTAATGGTGGTGCTCATCTAGCCACCTTTCAAATGGAAAAGCATGCATTAATATGGAACCTGTTTGTTCTCAGCTGGGCAGCTGCTCTTGCAAAATCCACTTGGATTCCAATAGATTCGGTCTATCCAAGGTAGCCTTATGGTCTCCATGGGGCACCCAAGTTCATGTCTTTGCCAATGGTTGGGTCTGTAAGAGTCTGGGTTTTGTGAGCCTTGAGAATAAGAATTTTCTCTTTGACAAAATGCTGTAGTCATTCCAAGAGCTATTGGATATGCTTTGAATTGCTTATAAAAAGTCTGTGGTAAACCTGTTGATACTGTACTCTCTGCATATTTTGAAAAACACGTATTGTTTGTTTTTCTGGGGGGTTAACACATATCTATTTTAGAGAATTTGAAAATTTTCCAAGTGCAGAAATAAAAATAGAATGCACCTGTAACAACTAATAACATTGAACATCTTTTTGGTCTTTTGTTCTAGGTGTATCTCTACGTAATTTGTTTTATAAACATTGACTCATTCCTTCTCACATTTGTTCCTTTTTCTCATTGAATATGTTGTGAGCATTTTCTTTCACCGTGCTATGCCTTATCGCTTATTGGCATTCTGTCCTCTCCTGAGGGACATTTAGGCCATTTCCTTTCTTTTTTTTTCTTTTTCCTTATTGCTGTTATAAACAATGCTGCCACAAACATCCTTGAAAATAAACCTTTGAGCCCATTCATAAGTATTTCATTGGGCTATATTGGCAGATAAGGAATTGCTGGGGCAAAGGATAGGTACATTTTATATGAGCCCTTTTAAGACTTTTTATACATTTTGGGAAGTGTGTCTTCTAGCCTCATCCTTCTGAAGCTGGTAAAAGGGCTTTAGAGTCGTGGTAACCTGGGTTCATACTCCTACTCCACCACTTTCTCATTTTGTGATCCTGGCCAGGTCACATAACACAGAGCCTTAGTTTTCTCGTCTGCTAAATGGGATGGGTGGAGATGAAAGTGCCTCACCAGACTGTGATGAGGATTCAGTGACTTTGTGGGCACGAACAGTTTTGTGATTTATGTTTTGGGGTGTGTCTGGAGTAGCAAGTGTTCCAGACAATGCTTATGATCATTGTGATTATTCAGTGTCCCCTAGTTCTTTCAGTGTGTGGGGGATGTTTGAGAAACTTCCTGGGATGAAGAGCCAGTCCTTTCCCAGGTCAGTGGAAAGCCAGGTACCTTAGGATCCCAATGGTTGGGCGGTTCTGAGTCACACTGTGTTTCACAGACTCTTCTGTCTGAAGGATGTTTGTTTGGCTTTGATAGGGATGGTGTTACCTGGGGTGGTTGGTGGGTTAAGTAGGTCTGCTGTCTGGGGCTCAAGTCTTCAGAGAGCCATCTGCCCCTGGAGACATCCCACATCCCACAGGGTCCCCTGGAGACACTCTGACATTTGCCACAAACAATCATGCTTGGCCTGCTCTCATATGCATAGAGTGGATATTGCAGCCTCTGTTTAGAGTGTGTGCTACAGCGCACGGAGAAGGGGACTGGTGAGTGTACTCTTTTTGTGGAGAAAAGTGAATGCTGTGGGGGTGGGAGGAAGCCCCTGCCTCTGACCCCATGCATTTGCCTCCCCTGGACTCAGCCCATCCATGCTTACTGAGTGTCTACTCTCTGAAAGGCACTTCAAGAGTATTTCAATCCCCAGATCCACCATATGGATGGAGGAACCAAGACTCAATTCAGCTAAATTTAAACTCACACCTATAGACTCCAGAGCCTGTGTTAGCCCATTTGCATTGCTATAAAGGAATACCTGAGGCTGAGTAATTTATAAAGAAAAGAGGCTTATTTGGCTCATGGTTCTGCAAGTTGCATAAGTATGGCCCTAGCATCTGCTTCCGGTGAGGCCTCAGGAAGCTTCCAATCATGGTAGAAGGTGAAGGGGGAGCCAGCATATCTCATGGTGAGAGATGGAGCAAGAGATGGGGAGGAGGTGCCAGGCTCCTATAAACAACCAGCTGTCCGTGAACTGAGAGCAAGAACTCCCTCATTCATTACCAAGCGGATGGTGCTAAGCCATTCATAAGGCATCCCCACCCCTATGATCTAACCCCTCCAACCAGGCCCCACCTCCAACATTGGGGGTCACATTTCAGTATGAGATTTGGAGGGGACACACATCCAAACTCTGTGAGAGCCCTTAGTCATTAAACTGCAAGCCCTTTTACAGATGATAAAGCCAAGGCTCAGAGATGCCCAGTTGCTCGTTGGCAGTCCATGGATGGGATTCAAAGCCCACAGTTCCTGATGACAAGCTTTGTGTTGGTTCCACTCCCAGCATCTGCCTCTCCAAATCACAAGGCCCCATTCTCAGTTACAGCATCACTGGACAAGTTTTCAGCCAACCTGACATATGCCTGAAAGCAAAAGTCTGTCCCCTTTGTCCCCAGTCCTTGAAGTCATCTTTGTGGGTGTCTTCTTTCCTTTTTGTACCTTGAATATCCAGATCTGCCTCTGGAGTGAAGGGAACTGCTCTGGAGGCAAGAGACTGGCAGAGCTAACCTCCATATTGGTTTGCAGATTTCACTGGAAACCCAGCACATCCATGTATTTGCCTCTTAGGAGTTGAGCTGTGTTGATGTGGCAAGGTCCTGGACTTGGAGTCCAGAAGGCTGGCTCCTTTTCCCACTCACCTGGCAGGCTGGGCATCCTGGGCTGTTCACTGCCTACCTCCGAGCCTCAGTTTCCCCTTCTGTGATCCCTGAAATCTCTGTCATTCTGTGTAACCCTGGGGATCCTAGAAAAGTGCTCAAGGAGGACTGAAGATGGAGGAGATGATGCCGAGAGGGGCTGGTTTGTTACAGAGGTCCCGCCTGGAACCTTGCTCCTTACCTGGAGGAATGTTCACTCCTTGACCTAGTGGCCACAGACCAAGCCTCCCGCATGTGGATCCCCGCCAGCCTCAGAGCCCTGCCCTTGCTGAGTCATGACCTTGCTCTAGGCTGAATGCCCACCCATACCTCAGCCCAGCCCAGCACTAGCCGTGCGTCCAGACCGACCCAGGCTCAGGCTGTAGATGCAGGATCAGGATGAGGATGCATATCTTTCTGCCCTCGGACACAGGCTGAGCCAGCTCTTTCTTTAACCCCTCACCTGTCTGATTGAAACAATCCCAAATCTATCTTCTCACTTTCTTTTTTTGCCTTGTATTCTTGGATCCTTTTTTCCTCTTCTTTCTCTCACTGAAGCACCCTTTCTCTCTCTCACTGAAGCATAGGGTAGGGTGCGAGAAGCAGGGAAGTTGGCAGAGAGATAAGATTCATCAATATTTAATTTTTATGGAAATCATGTCCTAGAAATCCCCAAGGGGCTGAAAATTGTACTGTGTTTTCAGAATCCAGTGATGTTGCTGGAGCGGTGATGTTGTAAATAAAACCACATTACTGTCTGCAGCTCTCCTGTCGCTCTGCAAACACCCGGAAACTTGACAGTTTAATCCACTCAAGGAAGCAAAAAGGTTCGGGTCACTGCTGGGGGCAGCCCATTCTCCAGTCCTGGGATATAAGATTGTGGGGCATCAACGTCAGTGGGGCTGTTACTGCTGGGAAGGGAGACGGAGCCAGCGTGCCTTGAGTAGATTTACCATGCTGGTGGATTTTTTTTCCTCGGAACAGGAATCCCAGGACAGCAGAGCCCCCTCTGGGCTTTCTGATATGGGGAAGATTTGCTTAGAGATAGCGGCTTTTCTTTTCCCTCATGCCTGTGGTGCAGTTAACCCAATGACCAGCAGAAAAATCAGACTCAAGTTAGTTTCCAGCAGCTTCTGGTGCAATTGGGATTTGGAAGGGACATTCATTTGCTTCTTCATTCATTCACTCATTCATTCATTTCTTCATTCATCAAACATTTATTGAGCATCTGCCATGTGCAAGGCACTTTTCTAGATTCTGAGAATATAACAAAGCACACAAAAAACACAACAACCCTGCTTATGTTCTTGTGGAAAGAGGCAGACAACCAACCAGGTAAGTAAATTATATAGTATGTTGTATGGTGATCTGTGTCATGGAGGAAAAGGAAGTAGGAATCATAGGTGTTTACCCATGAGAAATGCAAACTTTTTTGGACCAAAGGCTTGCACAAGAATGTTCAGAGGAGCATTATTCACAATAGCTAAAAACCGGGAACAGCCCAGGTGTCAATCACTAGTGGATGAATCAACAAACCAGTGCATTCTTGGATGGAATACTACACAGCAATGAAAAAGGAATGATCCACAGACACAGATAACAACATGAATGGATTTGACAAATGTTTTTCTGAATGAAAGAAGCCAGGCACACAAAAAACATGTGCTGGGTGATTCTATTTATATGACATTCCAGTATAGATAAAACGAATCCATGGTGATAGAAATCTGAAAGGTGGTTGCTCTGGGGAGGGAAGGAGGATGGTGAATGGGGAGAGGGGCCTCCGGTGTCACCGATGTGCTGCCTGTCTTGATTGAATGGTACACCTGGGATCAGAGCATGTCATCAGATAGGTTAGTACACAAAACTGTAAAGCATGGTGAGGGAATAGCATGTGGTGGTGATGGTGGGAAGGGTTTGCAACTTGAAAAGGGGGTGGCCAGGGAAGGCCCCACAGAGAAGGTGACTTGAAGAAAGTGAGGGAGAGAGCTATGAGGGTATCTGGGTGAAGGGCATTCCTGGCAGGGGGAACAGCAAGTGCAAAGGCCCTGAGGTGGGATCATGAGTGGAGAAGTCAGGGAACAGCAAGGAAACCACTGCATTCATCAACTTGGCTGCTATGAGAGCGTGCCACAGACTGGGCAGTGTAAACAACAGACATTTATTTTCTCATTCTGGAAGCTGAAAGTCTGAGATCAAGGTCTCAGCAGGGTTGGTTTCTTCCGAGGCCTCCCCACTTGGCTTGCAGATGGAAGCCTTCTTACTGTGTCCTTGTGTGCTTGTCCCTTGGTCTGTGTGTTGGCTGTATCCTAACCTCCTCTTCTTGTAAGGACCTTTGTCGTATTAGATTAGGGCCTACCCTGATGGCCTCATTTGAACTTAATTATCTCTGTAATCCCAGCACTTTGGGAGGCTGAGGCGGGCAGATCATCTGAGGTCAGGAGTTCAAGACCAGACTGGCCAACGTGGTGAAACCCCATCTCTACTAAAAATACAAAAAGTAGCCAGGCATGGTGGTGGCTACCTGTAATCCCGGCTATTCAGGAGGCTGAGGTAGGACAATCGCTTGAACCCGGGAGGCAGAGGTTGCAGTGAGCCAAGATCCTGCCACAGCACTCCAGCCTGTGCAACAGAGTGAGACTCTGTCTCAAAAAGGAGAAGAAAAAAAAAAGATCCTACATCCAAATAAGGTCCCATTCTAAGGCCCTGGGGTTAGGACTTCAACATATGAATTTGGGGGACACAGTTCAGCCCATAGCAGCCAGCATGGACAGAGGTACCTGAGACACAGATGGGCCGCCGTGTGCCGTGGACATCCGGGCTGCTTGTTTCTGCTGCTCCCTGTGATGAAGGTGTTGGTGTGGAATGAGGTGGGATGAGGGTTTTGTGATAGAGGGTGGATGAAGCTGTAGAGGCCGGAGGTGGCAATTCTTGAAGTTGCCTTTCATGAATTCACATGACCGGGGAAACTTGCTTCTGGAAAAGCCAGCAGTGTTGAGATTGAGGGTCAGGCCCCAGCTCTCGCTTTCCATAGAAGAGTGGTGTAGGGGCCGTGAGGATGGGTCTAGTTGGACGTACTACCGAGGCTCAATAGCCTATCATGCACTGACTCACAGCGCAGGTGCCTCCTTGGCTTGAAGAAGGACGAGGAGAGTCGGGAGAGGCTTTCCTTGGGGGCTGCTTGGCACCTAGGAGAGCATGCGGCCTGTACTTATAAGAACAGCCTGACAGTGGGGGGCAACCTCCAACAGCATTTCCCCTGACTCCCTCCAAAGATACCTGCCCTCCCGCCAATGCCCCAGGCCCTGCGTCATCTTCGCTTGCATGGGACACAGGCTGTTGTCTTTTATGAGTGCCCAAATCCTCAGCTTTACCTAGCCATGCTCAAAAAATGCTATTGATTTTCTTTTTCTTATTTATTTATGAGATTTTTGCTGTGAGCAAAAAATAAAAAGGTTTGTGCAGTGTTCCCCTTAGCAGTGAGAAGTTTTCTCCACCCACTGCCTCCCTCCCTGGCACACACACTCACAGATTACTCTCTCATCTCTCTACGCTCCAAAAGTCCTAGCATCTCCCGACTGTAGGATGCAGAGAAGGAAGAGATGAAAAGGGGCTAGTGCCTGGGGCAGAGTGAGGACTCTCCCATACATGTGGGAGAGGTGGGTGGATACATTTTTGAGCAAGACACAGCTGATGCCCAGAGAGTTAGGGAGGTCGAGAATGACCTCTTCCTCCTTGGAAGCATGCCAGGCCCGGTGCTGGGCACTTTGGACCTGTCTCATTCAGCCCTCACCTTAAACCTACAAGGCAGATTTTATTACTTTTTTCAGTGATGAAATTCAAAGAAGTTAGGCACCTTGCTCAAGGGTGCCTAGCAAGCGAGCTAGAATTCACTTTCACACCTTCAGGATGCCAGCTCTCTTCAGTGTGTGGTGCAGCCTCCCCAAAGGGGAACAAGGACCCACTTAAGAGACTGCTGGGAGCTGGGCTGGCCCACAGAGTGAGACGACTCCTCTCTCCTACCCCTGACAGGGCCCCCCTCCATTTTGAAGAATCCTCCTTGGGCTGAGCATCTTGGGTGGGAACAAAGTCTGTTCTTCTCCACCCCTTCCATCTTTGGAAAGATGACTGTATGAGAATCTCTGCACCCTGCAGTGGGACATCTGGCATGAGAGTTGGTTTTAGTCTCTTTCCAGGGAGGTGGCTGGCCAAGGAAGACCAGAGGGAATCGAATCTCAGTCCTCTCTCAGGGCTTGAGGTCTGTTCATTAGTGGTGTGACACGTGGATCCTTGGGGATGCCCTAAGTCAGCTGATCTGCCCCGCTCTGTGCCATGCAGACATCCACTCATATGGATGCCCCTGCCCAGAGTGCCATTTCTATCTCTGGCACTCCTGACAAATGCCTTGGAATCTCAAAAACATGATTCCAGCCTCTGCCCCCTGCTTTCTGCACGTCGCTCATCCCTCAGTCATATTGCTGCTCATACTGTTGACTTGTCAAGGAACCAACCAAGTAGGGCTGTGCTTATAAGAACATGGGCTACTTGAGCTGCTTGAAGCTCACATCTTGTTGATCTTTGTCTCCCCTGGAATTGGGCACAGAGCACAGTGGTGGAAGGATGGTGGTCATCCCTGTGGATTCCATACAGATACAGCTGGCAATACATCGTCCATGTTCATCCCATTCCTGAGCCCTGGGAAGCATGACCCTCAAATTCACTCAGTGTGCTTCTCTTCTTATCGTTCCCTGGCAGGAGTTCCCCTTGGCCATTCTCAGGGGCTGGGAATGCTACTGTGCTTACCCTACCCCCCGGTTCAACCTGCGGGATGCCATGGACAGCTCAGTATGTGGCCAGGACCCTGAGGCACAGAGGCTGGCAGAATACTGTGAGGTCTACCAGACACCTGTGCAAGGTGGGTTCTGCATCCCCGACTGGTAGTGGCATTTGGTCTGGGGGGTGGGGAGAGCTTCCAGGGTTTGGAGATGCCAGTCATGGCCAAGCATGCAGTTATGAGGTATGGCATGTGTCTGTGTAAAGGTCTTGGCATCTTGATGGGTGTTGGAGATAATGGGGAGGGTCAGTTTTCCACCCTCCACAGAGGCTGAATCCTGGACTCACTTTAAAAAACACTGGACCCTTTATCTAAGTCTCTCTGGAGATGACAATGGTAAGAGGATGAACAGAGAGGGGCAGGTCCTAGAGAGATAGCAACAGAAAGGTGGTAGGATTGGGAGGCGTGGGAAGAATGAGATCCCAGGAGCTGCAGGGGCCACTGGTGCCTCCAGGACCTGGGAACCCTCCTTGGTGTGAGCATCAGGTCTGCCCCTGTTGACCTTAGGAACTGATGAAAGGAAGAGCCGGGGACGAGGGATGTTACCACCTTTATCAAGTGCCTACTGTGACCCAGCATGGCCCTGGATGTTTTGGGGCTTTCCCCTGGTGATTTCATGTGCTCCTTGTAGCAGCCCTGGGGATGAGACATAACGAATGACTTGCCTGTCATTAGTCCAGCTCTGGTTTATTGTTGGCAGTACCTGGGTGTGTTACTTTGCTCAGCCTAGCCTCAATCCCCACCCACTTCCCCTATTAGAATCTGGAATTATCTGTGCTATGTCAGGAGCAAGAGTTTGGCTGTGGCCATAGAGACAGAATGGGAGTCGAGGGTCCATAGGGTGTCTGATTCCCATCTTACTCCTGCACTGCAGTATTGCAGGCCTCATTACGGGGCTTTCTCGGACTGGCCACAGACCTGTGCAGCTAAGGTATATTTGGAAGATCTCTTCCCTTCTTTGGGCCTTGGTTCCCCCATCTATTAAATGGGAGTCTTCGTTCATCAGTTCCTCTAAGGGAGTTTAGTGGTGAATTGGTGAGTCATAATGGAAGTGAGTAACCCCGTGATGACTTTTGGACTTTCAGACACTCGTTGTACAGACAGGAGGTTCCTGCCTAACAAATCCAAAGTGTTTGTGGCTTTGTCAAGCTTCCCAGGAGCCGGGAACACATGGGCACGGCACCTCATTGAGCATGCCACTGGCTTCTATAC
This sequence comes from Homo sapiens, assembly GCF_000001405.40. Classification (NCBI taxonomy): domain Eukaryota; kingdom Metazoa; phylum Chordata; class Mammalia; order Primates; family Hominidae; genus Homo; species Homo sapiens. The sequence goes on from NC_000017.11 coordinate 6,110,898, forward strand.
AGGGAGCTACTACTTTGATGGAACCCTCTACAACAAAGGTAAGTCAAAGCTACAGGGGACGATGGAAGGCAGCTCCCGGTGACCAAACTGTCACCTTGCCAGCCAAGCTTCTCAGAGCACTAGAGCAGTGCATCTCAAACTTGAGTGTACATAAGAGTCACCTGTGGGTGGAGCCACTGTGTGCCATACTCACCCTTCAGGTATTGAAGACCAGCCCGCCTGGTGGTCCCCATCCACAACAAAGTTACGCCATTGTATCCACAAACACCCACGATCTAGGCCACTGAGGCACTTGCAGACACCACTGATATTGATTACAGCCAAAGAAATTACACTGAGACTACACTACTCCACCACCCAGAACCAAAACCTAAGCATGCTACCCAACCCACACTATAGGATACATCTACTAGAAAAAGTCTTTTCCTATGAAAGCTGCTCCATAAAATTGGAAGAGGTGACTGTTCCACCAGATGTGCAGATATCAATGCAGTCACACAAGAAACATGAAAAAGCAAGGAGGCCAGGCGCAGTGGCTCACGCCTGTAATCCTAACACTTTGGGAGGCTGAGGTGGGTGGATCGCCTGAGGTCAGGAGTTTGAGACCAGCCTGACCAATATGGTGAAACCTCATTTCTACTAAAAATACAAAAATTAGCTGGGCGCGGTGGTAGGCGCCTGTAATCCCAGCTACTCAGGAGGCTGAGGCAGGAGAATTGCTTGAACCTGGGAGGCAGAGGTTGCAGTGAGTCGAGATTATGCCACCGCACTCCAGCCTGGGCAACAGAGTGACACTCCGTCTCAAAAAAAAAAAAAAAAAAAAAAAAGAGCAAGGAAACATGACGTCTGCAAAGAAACACAATAATTCTCCAATAACAGACCCCAAAGAAAAGGAAATGTATGAAATACCTGAAAAGTAATTTAAAATAATGATTTTAAGGAAACTCAGCATGATACAAGAGAATACAAATAGACAATTCAATGAAATTAGGAAAACATTTTATGATCCGAATGAGAAATTCGATAGAAATAGATATCATACAAACAACCAAACAAATCTGTTAGTTGAATAATTAAAATGAATTTTTAATGAATGAAATTAATGATCTAGTCTGTTACAAAAGCTCTCAACTGTGTTTTTAATTTTATACCAAAACCTATGGGATACAGCAAAAGAAGTTCTAAGACAAAAGTTTACAGCAATAAATGCCTACATCAAAATAGTAGAAAGATTTTAAATAAGCAACCTAATGACGTACCTCAAGGAACTAGAAAAGCAAGAACAAGCCAATCCAAAAGTACTGGAGGGAAAGAAATGATGAAGATCAGAGCAGAAATAAATGATAAAATTCAACATCCCTTTAGGGCAAAAACAATCAACAAATTAGGTATAGAGGGAACGTACCTCACCACAATGAAGGCCATATGTGAAAAACCCACAGCTAGTATCATACTAAATGAAGAAAGTGTTGAAAACCTTTTCTCTAAGAACTGAAACAAGACAAGGATGCCCACTTTCACCATGTCTGTTCAGCCTAGTAATGGAAGTCCTATGCAGCAATTAGGCAAGAAAAAGAAACAAAGGGCATCCAAATTGGGAAGGAGGAAGTCCACTTGTCCCTGTTTGCAGATGGCATGATCTTACATATAGAAATGCCTAAAGGCTTCACCAAGAAACCCTTAGAACCAATAAATGAATTCAGTAAAGTTACAGGATACAAAATAAACATGCAAAAATCAGTAGCATTTCCATATACCAATAGTGAACTACCCGAAAAAGAAATGAAGAAAGCGGTACCATTTAAATAGCTATGAAAAAATACCTAGGAATAAATTTAATAAAAGAGATGAAAGATCTCTGCAAAGATAACTATAAAACACTTATGAAATTGTAGAGGACACACAAAAAAATGGAAAGACATCCCATATTTATGGATTGGAAGAATTAATATTGGGAAAATGACCATGCTACCAAAAGCAATCAACAGATCCAATACAATCCCTATCAAAATACCAATGACATTCTTCACAGAAACAGAAAAAAACAATTCTAAAATTTGTATGGAACCACAAAAGACCCTGAATAGCCAAGGCAATTCTGAGCAAAAAGAACAAAGCTGGAGGTATCACACTACTGACTTAAAAATATGTTACAAAGCTTTAGTAACAAAAAACAGCATGGTACTGCTACAAAAACAGATGCATAGACCAATGGAACAAAATAGAGAACCCAGAAATAAATCCATGCATTTACAGCCAACTCATTTTTGACAAAGATGCCAAGAACATACATTTGGGAAAGGACAGTCTTTTCAATAAATGGTGTTGGGAAGACTGGATAACCATATGCAGAAGACTGAGGCTGTACAAATGGTGTTGGGAAGACTGGATAACCATATGCAGAAGACTGAAGATATACCCCTATCTCTCTCCTTATGCAAAAATCAACTCAAAATCAAGACTTAAATGTAAGACCCAAATCTATTAAACTGCTAGAAGAAAACGGGGAATATTTCAGGACATTGGTCTGGGCAAAGATGTTTTTGCTTTTGAGATAGGACCTCAAGAGCACAGACAACAAAAGCAAAATTAGACAAGTGGTATTATGTCAAAGTGAAAAACTTCTGCACAACCAAGGAAACAATCAACAGAGTGAAGAGACAGCCTGCAGAATGGGAGAAAATATTGGCAAACTATTCATCCAACAAGGGATTAATAACCAAAGTATATAAGGAACTCAACAACAAAAACCCAAAAGAATCTGATTTAAAAATGGACAGATGATATGAATAGACATTTATCAAAAGAAGACATACAAATGGTCAACAAGTATATGAAAACATGCTCAGTATCACTAATTATCAGGGAAATGCAAATCAAAACCACAATGAGATATCATCTCGCCCCAGTTAGAGTGGCTACTATCAAAAAGACAAAAAATAACAAGTGTTGGAGAGGATGTGGAGAAAAGGGAACTCTTATACTCTATTGGTGGGAATGTAAACTAGTACAGCTCTTACGGAAAATAGTATGGAGGCTCCTCAAAAAAAAGTAGAATTGTCATATATATGATCCAGCAATCCCACTGCTGGGTATATATTCAAGGGAAAGGAAATGAGTATGTTGAAGAGATACCTGTACTCTCATGCTTATTACAGCACCATACACAATAGCCAAGGTATGGAATCAACCTTAGTATCTATCAATAGGTGAATTTTTAAAATGTGGTACATATACACAATGGCTAGTTAGCCGTAAAAAAAAAAAAAAAAAAAGAATTAAATGCTGTAATTCACGGCCACATGGATGAGCCTAAGGGACATTATGTTAAGTGAAATAAACCAGGCACAGAAAGATGAATACCACATGCTCTCATTCATATGTCAAAGCTTAAAAAGTTGATCTCACTGATGTGGAGAGTAGAATAGTGGTCACTAGAGGCTGGGAAGGGTAGGAGGGAGGGCAGGATAGGGAGATGTTGGTTAAAGGATACAAAATTACAGCTAGATATGAGGAATAAGTCCTAGTGTTTTATAGCACTGTAGGGTGACTACAGTTGACAATAATTGATTGTATGTTTTCAAGTAGCCAGAACAGAGGATTTTGAATGTTTCCAGCTCAAAGAAATGATAAATGTTTGAGGCGATGGATATCCTAATTACTTTGATTTGATTATTAAACATTGTATACATGCATTGAAATATCACATTGCACCCCATAAAGAAGATGTACACTTATCATGCATCAGTTTAAAATAATAATAAATATATTTATATTTATTATTATTTTATTTTACTTTCAGTTCTGGGATGCATGTGCAGAATGTGCAGGTTTGTTACATAGGTATGCATGTGCCAAGGTGGTTTGCTGCACCTACCAACCCATCGTCTAGGTTGTAAGCCCCGTATGCCTTAGGTATTTGTCCTAATGCTCTCCCTTCCCTTGTCCCCCACCCCCCAACAGGCCCCTGTGTGTGATATTCCCCTCCCTGTGTCCATGTGTTCTCATTGTTCACCTCCCACTTATGAGTGAGAACATGTGGTGTTTGGTTTTCTGTTGCTGTGTTAGTTTGCTGAGAATGATGGCTTCCAGCTTCATGCATGTTCCTGCAAAGGACATGAACTCATTCTTTTTTAATAAAAATATTTTTAAGTAAAAAAGAGAATCACTTGGTCCTGGCCCACACCCCTGACAGTCTGATTCAGGTAGTCCGAGGTGGGGCCTGAGAATTTTCATTTCTAACAAGCTCCCAGGTGACCCTGATGAAGGCAGCCCGAGGACCCCACTTAGAGCGGAACTTCATGAGATCGTGCCTATTCTGGATTCAAAGAGAAAGACTAGCAGCTTGAATTTTCTCTCTGTAAACATTTCTTGAATTTTCCTTAATTTTTAGAACCCTCAATAATTAGGGGTGAAACTGATTTAATCTGCTCATTCCTTTTTTGAGGCAAGAACTAGTTCATCAAAATGTAATAAAAAATGTCCAAAAATCTTTTAAGAGTTTTGATTTGTAATCTTTCCCTTGTAGAAATAAGAGAAATTAAGTTAAATGGCTGAAGACTGTGTTTTGTTTAAGAATGAAAAACCTCAGACAAGTCCATTGGCATCAAATTTGGCAAAAATGTATTAAAATGTATTTCTCTGTTGTCAAGCATTTTCTCTGGATTTCTTTCTTTCCTTTTTTCTTTTCTTTTCTTTTCTTTTTTTTTGAGATAGAGTCTCACTTTCACTCTGTCGCCCAGGATGGAGTGCAATGGCACAATCTCAGCTCACTGCAACCTCCGCCTCTTGGGTTCAAGCGATTCTCCTGTCTCAGCCTCCCGAGTAGCTAGAAATACAGGCACCTGCCACCACACCCAGCTAATTTTTGTATTTTAGTAGAGACAGGGAGGTTTACCATGTTGGCCAGGCTAGTCTCAAACTCCTGACCTCAATTGATCTGCCTGCCTCACCCTCCTAAAGTGCTGGGATTATAGGAGTGAACCACCATGCCTAGCCCATTTTCTCTGGATTTCTTAACCAGAGTTTGGTGTAGGAAAGTTGATACTGTCAGTAACATCCTAGAGAAGCAGAAACTTCCCAAGCTTGGGATTGGGCTCTGGAATCACTTATAACAATCTTGGTTCTGGGGAAAAGCTATAGTTGTCCATATAACCCAGCCTTGTACTCCCTGGGAACCTCGAGTGTTACAGGCATCTTCAGGTGAGGGAGGAAGTGGCCACATGAGCACATGGCCCTGTCCACTCTGGCTTAGTCCCCTAGGAATCACCCACTGTGCCCAGGCTGCAGTTACCCACCTTGTTCATCTCCAAGGCCCTTACCTTATTCAAGCAGCTGGCTGTTTTGGTCTACATATGGTAAGCGGCCCAATGACTGATATTGCCAGCTATAGAGGTTGGGTCGACACTGCCTCAGAAATGCTTTAGAGATACCTCACACACATCTTTGAGCCTTACAAGACCATTAGATGTGGCCAGTGGCCTCAGAGCACTGACAGAGTGATCACACACACACACACACACACGCACAATTCACAAGGCATCTCCAATGCCCAACCACCAAATCTATTGTGGTAGGTCGAATGTGGTCTGAGCTGCAAGGCAGAATAGCTGTTGTTGGAAGAGGCGGAGGCAGTATGGAAGGCACCCCGGGTCTCAGGGTTGTTAAAGACTAGATCTCAAGTTTATTCATTCCAGTTTGACTCTTCCTTTCATAGCATTTTCCAGCTGTTTGACAGAATGAATCAAAGCGAGGCCTTTTGGTATTTGGCCCATGGCAGAGATAAGTTTGAAGCTTGTTGAGTTTCAGTGGGTAAACCCGGACTTCCAGATTCAAAAGAGACTTGCATTTTCCAGGCATCAAAGCGTCCCTCAGTGCTCACTGCAGATACAAATGCTTTCCAGCAATTCCTGCAGAGGGGCAGGTGGTAGGACTCATTTTGTTTCCAAGAGCCCAAGATAAGCACATGAGCACTTACGGAACATGTCTCAGGGCTGGGAGCATGGGCTACATTGGGTGTGGCCAGGAGACTAGTTTCAGGAGACCTCTTCCCAGGAAGTCTTCTAGGACATCCCACTATTTGGGATCCCTGCTCTTTGTTTCCATAAGCCCCTATAGCCTGCACTTAGGCTATTTCCTCTACTAGAACATAAGCTTAAAGACAAGGTCTGAGTCTTAACCCTCTGTCCCCAAAATAAAGTCTAACATAGTGAGCACATAATAACCTTCATTGATAAATGTGTGGCTCTGGATGAATGGGCGGAGTCTGGCCTTCTCTGCCAGTAGTCAGTCATTCAGGTTCTGAGTGCCCAGTACTATAGCAAGGGACCAAGGAAAGAGAGGGCCCCCGATGGGCTGATCAATGGGAACAAGTCTCCATTCATAGAAATTGGGCCCTGGGTCCTCAGGGCCAGGCTCAAGCACTGTGGATGAGGCCTTGACCAGACCTGCTCTGAGGCAAGGCTGGGCCCTGTCATAGAACCATGGCATCAGGTCAGAGGGTGGATCTATACCTGCTCACAGCCATTGAATCTGTAAATCAGGATCCTGCCCTGACTGTGGGGAGGTGAGAGGAGGCTGGGGGTCTCACAGAGACACACGGTGGCATGTGGAGAGAGCCCTGGCGCTGTTTTCACAGCACTGTGTGATCTTGGGCAAGTCCCATGCTCACTCTGTGCCTTAGTCTCTTCATTCAGCTATGTTTGCAGCTATGGTTAAATCAAAGGTTGTTTGTAATGCTTGTGTAAAATTATCTCTATGAAGATGCCCAAAACATATGCGTGCATCTGCAATGACGGGTCTTCTGCCCTCTGACTCCTGGAGGTCTTCAGGGAATACCTCATCTCATTTCTCTTGCAGATGCCATCTTTCCCCACTGTTAGATAACTCCTGCTGTCACTTTCCCTTGGACAGGGTCACTCCTGTGGAGGCCGTTCCTATCACCATCCATAGGTCCTCTCAGTGTCCTCTGTGTCTTCCATGGGCCCTCTCTTATGCCCCTGATGCCAGCTTTACCCAATCTGTCTGCTGCTATGGTAGGGTGCCCCATGGACACCATCTTCCACAGAGACCCTCTCATTTTTCCCTGCAGGGTTCAAGGGCGAAAAGGACCACTGGCGGAGCCGACGCACCATCTGTGTCAAAACCCACGAGAGTGGCAGGAGGGAGATTGAGATGTTTGATTCAGCCATCCTGCTAATCCGGAACCCATACAGGTCCCTGGTGGCAGAATTCAACAGAAAATGTGCCGGGCACCTGGGATATGCAGCTGACCGCAACTGGAAGAGCAAAGGTAATCAAGGACCTTGCGGTGGGGGTGGGAGGCTTGTCAGTACAGGTAGGTTGCTCATCAGGATGCAGGATCAATTTACACAGGTAGGCACTGCAGGATGCAGGATCAGTATACACAGGTAGGCACTCAAACCCCATCCTGCTAGGGACTTAGTGCTGCTGTGCCTGGGCTTGAGTTCACCTCCTCCCCTTGCCCCCCATGCCTGCTGAGGTCCATACGCCAAGGCATTTTACTTAGATGCCAGCTTGATTACCAAGAATCTTCTCTGCCTCCATGAGTGCATAGTGGGGTGATATGCACCCCTTTCCATCTCTGCTTCTGCCCAGGAGCTCATGCAGGGCTGGGAGAAGAGCACATGGGGTGCACATGGACCTGCTTTGCACCTTCCTCTGTGTTCAGCACCAGGTTCCTCTTTTATAGAATGAGACCTGCACCTTGTGGGGCATTCAGGGAGCAGTGAGATGATGTGCCTGCCTGGTCTCTGGTCAGAGCTCAGCATGTTAATTCCCTCCTAAGCTGCCTCTTGCTGACTCTTCACAGTGTCTGGTGGGGAAATCACATCAGCCCTACATTCCAGATGAGCCCAGAGAACATGGCTGCAGGACTTGGCCTTGGTGGTGAGCAGCAGAGCTGGGACTCACACCCAATGTCTTAGTCAGCTCTGGCTGCCATAACAAAATACCACAAAACTGGGGGATGGGGCAGGGGGTGGTGCTTAAGCAGCAGACATTTATTTCTCATAGTCTTAGAGGCTGGGAAGTCCAAGATCAAAGTGCTGGCTAATTCCATTCCCAGGAAGGGCCTGTTTTCAGGCTTGGAGACAGCTGCCTTCTCACTGTGTCCTCACATGTCCCCAACAGCTCTCTGGTGACTCTTCTGATAAAGGCACTAATTCCATCACAAGGGCCCCACCCTCATGACCATATCTGACTCTAATCGCCTCCCAAATCCCCCATCCCTAATACCATGATATGGTGGGTTAGGACTCTCTGTGAATTTGGGGGGCATACAAGCATCTGGGCCCCAACATCCAGAGTGTCTGATTCTGGGTCAGATTGGCCTGTTCCCCACTGCAGCTTTATTCATGGAATCAGTCTTCTGACTCACACTTGCTGAAGTCTTCCTGGGTGCCAGGCATGGGGCAAGGTACCAGGAGCGCAGGCTGATGAGGTCAGGGTCTCTGCCCTCGAGGCATGCACAGCTGAGCCTTTGGGTGGTGACGAATAGAGTCTGGGTGGTAAGTGATGTGAAATGAAGTTGGTCAGAAACAAAGCAGTGTCCAGGCAGGGTGGGGTGAGAGAAGTCACAGGACCCATGGCCAGACCAGCTTGTGCTCCTGTCCACTTGTTACTGGATCACCCAGTGGGTGGCCTCTGCCGGCCTCTAGTCTTCCCCTTCCCCCATCATCCTTTACTTAGACAGCCCCCGACAGTCAGGCAGGCTGATCTCTGACGCCTCCTCTGCCTCTTATGAGCCGTATAACTCCGGGAAAGCTGCTTATCTTGTCTTCTGAGCCTGTTTTCTCACATTAAAAACAAGGATAGGCCCTGTCTCCTAGGGTCATTGTGAAGATTAGAGAAAGCAAACGCTTCAGACGGCGTTTGAGGTGTGTTAATAGCCCAATAATGGAAACTTTTTATTGGGATGATTTCTGATATCTGGACCCTGCACACCCCTCCCCCAAAATTAATTTCTTAATTTGCTGGAAAAGAAAGCTCATAAAGTAGATTACCTGCAAAAGTCCGAGGCCACCCCGTCTGTGGCTTCACTGTATGTCCTACTGCCCTGCAGTTTCACAGGTTCAAACTGGCAATCAAACCACAAGATGCGTATTTGCCCATCAGGCATCACGCTGACTTAGCTTTATAGGAGGACCTGGGATGGGAAATGGAGGCTGCACAGCGTCCTCATCCCACCAGGATGCCCAGAGCTGCCCCCACCCACCACGGACACACTGCTCAGCCACCAAAGGGTCCTCCTCCATGGGGAATGCCAGGTTGACTCTAGGCAGTGGACAGTGGAAAACCCTGCCCACTTCCCTCTCCCGAGCAGCCCCCCGGGGACCGGCAGCCCTGGCAGGGCCAGCCCCCGACTCTGCATCTCTCCTGTCCTCACTCTAGAGTGGCCGGACTTTGTCAACAGCTACGCCTCGTGGTGGTCCTCGCACGTCCTGGACTGGCTCAAGTACGGGAAGCGGCTGCTGGTGGTGCACTACGAGGAGCTGCGGCGCAGCCTGGTGCCCACGTTACGGGAGATGGTGGCCTTCCTCAACGTGTCTGTGAGCGAGGAGCGGCTGCTCTGCGTGGAGAACAACAAGGAGGGCAGCTTCCGGCGGCGCGGCCGGCGCTCCCACGACCCTGAGCCCTTCACCCCGGAGATGAAAGACTTGATCAATGGCTACATCCGGACGGTGGACCAAGCCCTGCGTGACCACAACTGGACGGGGCTGCCCAGGGAGTATGTGCCCAGATGATAGGCCTGGCCCACGCCGCCGCCCCCGCTGAGTGACGCAATCGCACCACGGGGCTGCGCTCCCCACTCTGATGCTCAGGCCCGTGGCCTCACTGGGACGAACGGTGGGTGGGGGGCTCACCCTGGTGCTGCCTCCCGCACAAGGAGACCTGGACACAACAGACACACATCACAAGGCGAACACAAATGGACACACATACCTGGCCACGAACCCACACCTCCTCAGACACTCAGACACCACTCCAGGCTCATAGCCCCGTCTTGATGCAGAGAAGCCACCCACGTGGGGTGTGCCAGGCACCCCCAGATACAAATGCAGCCACGCACAGACGTAACACACAGGTGCCAGGCCGTGTGCTCCTGGAGGCTGGCTGGCTGTCTCTCTCACACAGATACACGTGCGCTCCCTGGGATCCGGGAGGCCCTGGGCTTCCTGTGTGTAGCCCTGGCATAGACTTGCTCGTCAGGGTGTTCGACTCTGGGATGCTGGGCCGGGCAGACATTTATGCTCTGAGCAGCAAGGACCATTGGGATGGAGGTGGGCACAAAGACTGCTGCTTCCAGGGTGTGCGGCCCTGGCCGTGTGTCTGACATCCCATAAATGTGTGTGTGGTGTGACTACGGGCACCACAAACTCCGCAGCCTTGCCTCTCTTTTCTCTGTGGCTGGGCTGGCTGCACCATGGGCAGGGTTGAGGACTGCCCCCCACCCCGCCCAAGCCAATGCAGACACTGACCTCAAGACCAGCCACACCAAGTCTGTGCACTGCCCACCACCCCCTTCAACCCCTCCTACACCATGCTCCGGGGCCTGGGGCCTCCTTGCCTGGCTTCTTCCTCCAGCTATCCTCAGGGAAGCTGGAGATTCAAGTCATGCCCCAGAAGCAAGGTGTAAGCATGGGGGCGTGGGGAAGAGGGCAGGAGCTGAAGTTCCAGGGGAGCCCAGGACCCCTGGGGACCTGTACACTAGCAGGATGGGTCTTGGGAGTTGGCATGGGGAGATTGTAAGGGCTGTATCTCCGCGATTACTGGTACTGGTGCTCCACCCATAGGGGCCCTGTTCTCTCTGGGGTCCCACACTGGGGTCATGAGAGCTAGTTAGTACTCAGCCTGACCCCTAGGTCTGGTCCTGCCAGCCTGGGATGGGGGTCAATGTATGCTACACATCTTGGGCTCACAAGTGAGGCTGTGGAGGCCAGGAGGTTCAAGTATGGAGGGTAGGAGTGCAACCCAGGAGCAACGCTCAAGGTGGCCGAGATGCAGGGAGGATTGTGGCGATCCGGTTGCACACTGGCCTCTGTGGAGGTCAGGGAGGTGGGAAGGTGGGTGGGCCTGAACTCAGGCAGCCCTTCAGTGGCTTCTTCAGGCCTAGGATAACCCTGGCCAGGCCCCATGGTCCTGCTCTGGGTCAGCTGTCAGGGAGACCTCCCTTCAGCCTGAGCCAAGCTGCATTGGGAGGAGAAGGCAGGGTGAGGGATCTGGGAGAGCAGGACGTTGAGATATCCTGACCCTCTGCTTCCTAGCCTGATGATGGGGAACCCAGAGCCACCCGCTATGAGCACAGGCCGGGGGTGGAAGGCCCAGTAGAGCTGCCCTTCCCCAGATGGAAGCTTCCTCCAACCTTCAGTTTGGCCAGTGGGTGGGTTTGGGCATCTGTGCCCCTGGTGGCCTCCAAATCCTTCCTGGGATTCCCCCAAACCCACACTGATGCGAAGCTGTTCTTGACCCTCCCATAGCATCAACTCAGTTCAGCTCAAAGCTAGAAACACCAAGGTCTTTGAAAATGTTTATTGGCTCAGGATAGCTTCGGCATCCAATCTGCGAAGGCCCCTGATGGAGCTATTTCTTCCTAGTATCAGGAGCAATTGAGACCCCTCAGGAGTTTCCACACTGCTGTGGACGGGATAGCCAGGGCAGACCTGCATCCCAGAGCAAGCCTAGATCCTTGAAAGCAATGTCAGGCGTGGCAGTGGGGAAGCCATGGAGGCTGGGAAGGGCAAAGTGTGGAGAGAGGAGTGACCGGGACTGGAGCCAGGGTCTGGGGAGAGCAACAGCACCAGGCTTTTCCTGGTAGTTGGATTGGTACATTCACTGCTGCCAGGTACCCAGAGATGTCATCTCTCTCCAGGTAGAGCATCACCAGCTCCTGTGGCCTTGTAGATGACTCTGTACCTCAGTGAAGAGTGCAGGCAAGTAGAGTGATGGGGTCAGTGTCCATCCAGTTTACGCTGAGTCAGTCCATACAGCAAGACACCTGGCACTTGGCAGGTACTCCTGGATGTTGATGAGCAAGGAAGAGCAACGGCCCTGTCAGCTGGCAGTGGTCCTCACAGCCTTCATCCCAGGTCTGCCTACGTGGGAGATCTCATCAGAAACAGGAACGGGGATCTGTCTGTGCTTGCAGGAAAGTCCATTTGTTTTTCTCCAAGTTAGGTCTCATCTACAGCTCTTAGCTTCTCAGTAAAGAGGATACTCTCCCAACCAGCCAAGGAATAAAAGCTGATCTGTATGTAGGGCAGAAGTGTGGCAAATGCATCAGGAACCGGTTAGAACAGAACAGAGAAACCCTGACTGTCTACAGATTCCAACTTTAATAGCAAGCCTGTGGAGTTACACAAACCTGTGTTAAAACATGTAATTTTTATGGATTTCATCTCCCGTTGTGGATCAATTTGGAAAAACCAAAATATGTAATTTTAAAAAACTAAAACACATCCTGGTAGTCCCAGTGATGTGTAAATGAGAGAGAAGAATAGACAGGCTTCCAAACCCTGGGAAGAAAGCTGCTTAATTATGTGAACATCTTATAATGAAGTCTCTTGCAGCTAAAATTAGATTTTGAGTGCATGAATCTGTGATAATGTTTGCATATCAGAATGCATTCTCCCCTTAAAAGTAGCAGTAGCCACTTGGTTCTTAGGGGGCCCCAAGAGGAGAGGAGAAGTGCTGAGGTTGATGTTACGACTGCAAGAATTCTTGGGACACAGGTTTGTTTTCTGCTGACTTGCTCGGAAACCCATTGGAGGTATCTGAAATGTGATGACTCCAAAGGGGTTCATTTCACTATAGGGAGAAATTGATTCGTCTGACTTCCTATTTATCACCACTCAATATTGGGTGAGTTGGTCTGAACAAGGTGGGGATAAAGTAGAGTGGAAATAATGTAGAGTCGTCAGACTGAAAGGCCAGGTTGTAGTCCCAGCTCTTATCTGCCATCTTGGACAAAGCTTTTCCCATCTCCAGTCTCAGTTTCCCATCCATAAAATGGGGGAAGTGGTAGGTCTTGCTGATTGCATCCACATTCATTCCTCCATTTCCTTTCCCAGCAACCCCCCATTTCTGTTTGGGAATTCATATGATCTGCCAGAGCCTCTCCAGGGGTGGAATACATGTCCTGGACTAAGCCAATGACACCTTCCATCTTTCCAGCTATGGTGACTGGGTTAGGTATGATCTTGTGAGTTAAGACAATGAAGCCAGAGGGAATTTCAAGACTTATGGGAATGCTGGGTAGAAGCTGTTTTAATTCCCCTGTTGAATGTGAAAAAGGTAGTAGTATTCCTGGGTCTTTATGATGACCACCTTGGGCCTTGGGATCATGACCAGGAATCACGTGAAGCTGACACCACTGAAGGGAGAGTTGAGAGGCAGAAAGAGATCAAGTCCTTGGTGAAATTGTTTAAGTACAGGATCAAGCCTTGCTTGAGATTGGCCTTACCTCTGGACTTTTTTTGTTATATGAGCTAATAAATTCTGTTTATTGTTTAAGTTGGGTTGAGTTTAATTTCTGTTACTTATAACTCAGAACATGGTGCAAATGGGTTGAATTGAAAAGCCCTGGGGCTCTGACATTCTCTATCTCTGTGGCTGATTTAGATAAAGCCTGAAACTCAGTCCAACTTGAGCTTGTAGGATTGGGAGGTTACTTTTCACAGGAATTGAGCTGAGTGCAAATGCTCAATAGAAAGCTGTGCTTAGCCAAGACAAGTAGCATTTTTAAGTTGGTACATGGTGAGGTCACCCATATAGCCATAGACAATAATTCATAAGGTGCCCAGCCCAAACCATTAGTTGTCTCATTTAATGTTTAACCCTTTGGTGTGGTTATTATTTATTATCTCTGCTTGAAAAATGAGAGGACTGGGATTCCAATTTGTAATGACTGTCAAAGTATGGCCCTTTTGTAGTTACTGTAACTTCTTTCATGGAGTATATGATGTGGTATTGGAAGGAAATTATTTGATAAATTACTTGGATTGGGGATAAGACCTCTTTAGCCCCTTCAGGGGACATGCTTGTGTAACAGCTTATAGACAGTAAACTCCCTTCTAGGGAGGGTAGGTGTGGTTAACCATATAGCATTGATTTTGCAAAGTGGGACATGCAAGCTTGGGGCAGAGCTGAATTGCTGCTGTTGGAGGGGAGGTGAATGATGCCACTGTGAGTTTCCCCCTCTGTCTTTCCCTCTTTAGCTCTCTATATGCCAGAAATCAGAGGAACAGAGGGAGTTATATGTGGCTCCCCATCTTCATACTCTCCTTGGAATGTCTATTATACAGTATGCCAGGATGAAAATCTATACAATATGTAGAAAAAGGCCAGGATCCCAGGAAATTTATTTGAGTATATTTGTCTGCAGTGCTCCCTTTTGTGACTGAAGATAGATTTTGAACTTCTGGAAGTTCTCAGGAGGGGCCCAAATGTGCAGACACACTGCAGACATCCAGGTCCCTGCCATGGGAAATATGAGCAGATCCAGCTTAAATGAGGCAATATAAAATGAGGAATCTTGATGTCAAAAATAAAAAGAATCCCAGTTGATATTATAAGCACAACCATGAGCTGAATGCATTAACTTTCCAAGGTGTCTTTAGTACTTAAGAATTTTTCTCAGGTTCAGGCATCAGCAGTGACAGATCCATGGTTTGAAGGTGTGAATAATGATGATCAATAACAGTGAACAAAATTCTTTTGGGTCACAAAGTTCCACAAACATCATCCCATATGTGCCTCAGTGAGGTGAACATTATTATTTCCATGTGGAGGGAATAGGATATGTGGTTTCGGAGACTGAGTTAGCCAAAATTTCACAGCTTTAGTTTATAGAAGAGCAAAATGAGATTTGGAATGGGGAGAGGTCTCATACAAAGTCATGCTGTGGGAATGAGTGGTGGAGCTGGGACCAGAAGGTGGATTCATTCCACTAAACCACCTGGTTGGCCCCACATTGCATACCTATAATTCTTCAAGAAGTTGCTGGAAATGGGACAAGTGTGCACAGACAGCTCATTTGGAAGCAAGTCCATGAATTTCACTGCTCATTCTTTGCCAGAATACATTTTGGTGGGCAACTGAGTTTTAAGAGCTTTTTATCAAGCATCCCCACTACTTGACAACCTGCTCAGAAGAAAAATCCCTTTCCAAAGAAGGGAAGTCAGTGAGATGGACCATAATGCCGTAAGCTAGGAGCCCAGAGTTTTCATCCCAAGTCACCAAATCCCAGACAAAGAAAGGTCCCGTTATTCCAAGACATTAATTAATAGGCAAGGATCTTTGGTGGGTCCCAGCAGTATGTATGTATTTGTAAGAGCTCCAGTTGCAGACAGCTGCCCCTCTGAATCCAATGCCAGCCATCCTGAGCATTACAAGTGACAAGAGCCTGGTCACTTGGACTTTGGCATCAACTCACTTAGATAATTCTTTCTCCCACAGTCAGATCTATGGTACCCAGATGACAGAATAATCTACCCTCACTTTGGAAGGCAGGGCACACATTTAGTATGTGTCTAGGAGGAAGCCCAGGGAAGCAGAATAGTGGTGCTAATACAGATACTTTCTAAGCCTTCAACCATCCAGTTGTACCATGGCACTTGCCGAAGGTTGAAATCATCCCTCACCAGAATCACCTGTATTTGTTTTCTATTGCTGAGCAACAAATGACCACAAACAGAACAGCTTAAAACAACATGCATTTATCATTCCACAGTTTCTGTGGGTCTGGAGGCTGAGCATGGTTAACTGGGTTCTCTGCTTCAGGATCTCATCAGGCTGCAATCAAGATGTCAGCCAGACTGCGTTTTCATCTGGAGATTTGACCAGGAATAATCCAAACTTACTTAGATCGTTGACAGAATCAAGTTGCATGTGGTTGTAGGACAGAGGCCCTGAGCTCCTAGATGCCATCCACTGTTCCTTGACATGTGGGTATCTCCATGTTCACCACATGGCTGTTGGCTTCTTCAAGGCCCAGAGAGTGAGACAGTCTAACATTCATAATGTAACTACAGGAGTGACATCCCTTCATCTTTGCCACATTCTACTGGTTAGAAGTGAGTCACAGGCCCTAGTCACATCCAAGGGGAGGGGATTGCACAAAGGCATGAACACCAGGAGATGGGGATCATTTGTACACCACAACACCAATAAGGAAAAAGTCCAGCAATCAGAGCATGCTTTGTGGTCCATAGAGAAGCACTGGCCATTGGATCATATTGCATGTAGTGGATATTTTGAAGCATCATCCAAGAGGATCGGTGATATCCAAGTCATAATAATGAATTCAGAGCTAATGTCCTCAACCCACTGCCTTGACAGCAGCAGAATCATCTACTTGTGAAGCTAAAGGAATATTCCCAATTTATATTGGCCAGACCTGTATTATTTTTAAAAATTTATTCTGCTCGGCACATAGTGCAACTTTCAATTTCTTTCTTTTTCTTTTCTTTTCTTTCTTTCTTCCTTTCTTTTCTTTCTTTCCTTCCTTCCTTCCCTCCCTCCCTCTCTCTCGCTCTCTCTTCTCTTTTTCTTTCCCTCCTTTCTTTCTTTCTTTCTTTCTTTCTTTCTTTCTTTCTCTCTCTCTCTCTTTCTCTCTCTCTCTTTCTTTCTTTCTCTCCTTCCTTCCTTCCTTCCTTCTCTCTCTCTCTCTCTCTTTTTTTGGATGGAGTTTCGCTGTGTTGCCAAGCTGGAGTGCAGTGGAGTGATCTCGGCTCACTGCAACCTCCGCCCCCCAGGTTCAAGCAACTCTCCTGCCTCAGCCTTGTAGCTGGGACTACAGGCGCCTGCCACCATGCCCAGCTAATTTTTGTATTTTTAGTAGAGATGGGGTTTTCACCATGTTGGCCAGGATGGTCTTGATCTCTTGACCTTGTGATCCACGCACCTCAGCCTCTCAAAGTGCTGGGATTACACTGGATTTCTTTCTTTAATTTTAGTACATATTAGCTACTATCTCTTTGAATATTGCCATCTCTTTTTGTTAATCTCTCATTCTGGCACTGGTGTTGGAACTCAAAAATCCGGTTTCCACACTCAGCTCTTTTTCTATACTTTTTATCTCTCAATCCCATTGTACTGGGTCCTGCCATAATTCTTTACTTTAATAGTCAAAATTTATAATTTGCACATCACTGTGCACATTCTGCTCGTCAACGCATCTATGGATTTCTATATTTATGTTTTTTATTCATGAGACTTCTAGTTGATTTTTATAACAATCTGGACATGCTTTATGGCCATGATACTCTTTTGCCTCCCTCTGAAGATATTAAATATATTTATGTAAATGTTCTGTCGTGTTTGCCCTATCAACTCTATTTTCTTGGGTTTTAGGTTTTTTCATTTCTTGATTTTGCTATATTTTTCCTGGTTTGGATTTTTATCAAAATTTTAGTGATTGTGTGTTCATGAAAATAGAGGGGAATTGTGGAGGTGTCAACCATCCTGCCTTCTGCCTTAGGTATGACGCCTTAATAATGACTCTGTTAATTACCCCTAGGCCACCTCTTGCTCCCAAATTCCACCCACTCTCAGTAGGAAGCACCAGTATTTCTGAGGCAGAATTCCCAGCTAGGTCCTGGACTGTGGGTTCCTTCTAAGCTTCCCGTCTACTTTCTATCTTTCAGCTCAGTTTTGGGTCCAGTCTAGTGCCTCTTCTTATTTTCAAGCGTGGCTATGTTATTGTATACCTTGATTCAGGGAACAAAGTAAGTGCTTGCTGAACCTACCATCATGTAAGCAAGGTCCTTGATGCTTAATCCATCACCAGGAAAACCAGGTTGTTAGTCATGAAAACCAGATCTTTGATGCTCTCTTGTGACCTAAGAGCACATAAAAATGCTGGCTTGGAGTGAGAAGGCCAAGGTTCTAATCTAGAAGGACAATTTATGTGCTGTGTGATCTTGGGCAAGTGTCTTGCCTCTCTGAATCTTAAAAATTAGAAGTTTGAAATAAGAATTGGCTCAGTCCTCACCTAGCTTGGGCTTTCTAAAGTTCTGCTTATCACATCCACAACATAATCCAATGGAATGATTTTTGTACCAGCTCAAAACATAGACTTCAACAAATGATATCATGACAGACTTTCACTTCACAAGAATTGGCTTCTCAATCTTTGTCAGGTCTCCTCCGCAAAATGGATAGTGCCCTGGGAAAAATAAAATACCCTAAAAATAATTTTTATTTATTCCTTCCATTCTTTGTTTTCTGTGTTTGATTCCATAAACAATTCTCCAATGATTTTTACTCACTTGAAAAGCTATATATATATATATTTTTTTTTGAGATGGAATCTTGCTCCGTTGCCCAGGCTGGAATACAGTGGTGCAATCTCAGCTCACTGCAAGCTCTGCCTCCCAGGTTCATGCCATTCTCCTGCCTTAGCCTCCTCAGTAGCTGGAATTACAGGCACCTGCCATCACGCCTGGCTAATTTTTGTATTTTTAGTAGAGATGGGATTTCCCCATGTTGCCCAGGCTGTTCTCGAACTCCTGACCTCAGGTGATCCACCTGCCTTGGCCTCCCAAAGTGCTGGGATTACAGGCGTGAGACGCCGTGCCTGGCCAAAAAGCTATATTTATATATTGCCTTCATTATATGTTTAAGCCAGTAGAGGCAGGGATAGTATTGTATTTTGCATTTATATTTGTAACCTTAGCTCCTAGCACAGGTCCTGGTATACAGGAGGCACAAGAAATGTTAATGAAATAGAAGGACGGATAGATTAAAATTCTAAATCACCTGGCTTTTAAAGTTTTCCAAGAAAATAATATCTTCCTGGAAAATAGTACCTTTCTCTTCCAATTACAAGCTGAGGATATGTTGCTGAGGATATTTGGTTGAGTTTTTCCACCAGCTGTTTATTGAGAAGCTCAGGAACTGAGCTGTGCTATAATCGTTCCGTGCTGCAGATGTAAAAGGCAAAGAAATGTGGCAGCCACCAAATTTTGCTGGAGAATTGTTCTCAGCTGGCACAGTTCTTGATCAACCACTTGTTCCCAACTCTTGAGGAACAGGAAACAAGTTGTTAGGATACCTGTCAAAATCTCTGTTCATGGATGTTCAGAACGATAGTTTAATGGCACAATCCACACCTTTGCTCCAACTCAGAGTCTCCACTGCAGATGGGCACTGTTCTTTTTTGCCTCGAGGTAGATGGGAAGCAGCATCTTCTCTGCCTCTTCTGGTTCTGTAGCTCATTACCTAAAGCTCATTAAACCTATAGCAAAACTTTTTTTCTTTTAATATTAACCACCCATCTATCGTAGGCCCTGAGGTAGGACACAAAGACCCCACTTCCAGCTAGGTTCAGGAAGAAACTTCCTCTCCCTGTTATAGGGCAAGGGCGAGAATGCAGAGACACAGCAAGGAGGGTCTGCCTACTGGTCAACCTGAGGCCTCCCACCCCAGTATTATCATAAAGTCTAAAGCTCCTTGTGTTAGTTACCCGCTGCCATGTAACGAACTACCCCAGAACTTAGCCACAGCTTAAACCCGACTTAAAACAAACATTTGTTAACTCAGGGTTTCTGCGGGTCAGGAATCTAGGCATAGCTTAGCTCAGTGACTCTCATGAGGCTGTAACCGAGAAGTTGGACTTGGCTGCAGTCTCAGCTGAAGGCTCACTTTGGGAAGAACTCACTTCCAAGCTCACTCAGGTAGAATAATGGCAAGATTCCATTTCTTGCAGGCTGTCAGACTGCGGACCTCTTGCTGGCTGTTGGTCAGAGGCCACCCTCAGTTCCCTGCCACCTGGGCCTCTCCACAGGGCACCTCACAACACAGTGGCTGGCTTCACCACTGTGAGCAAGTGAGAAGAGCCAGAGAGAGTGCAAGCAAGGCAGGAGTCACAGTCTTTTTTTTTTTTTTTCTGGTAACTGAACCTTGGAAGTGACATCACATCACTTTTATCATATTGTATTTGTTAGAAGCGCATCACTAGGTCCAGCCCACATGCAGGTGAGGGGATTACACAAGGGCATGAATCCTGGGAGGCAGGAAACCTGTGGAGCGATTTTCATGGCTGCCTACTATATTCCCATGGAGGGCCTTCTACACTAGAGTCACAGCCATCATTGTTGCCACACACACTTACCCTTGCCCCTGCACATACTACATTGCAGACTTCAGCATACTCAGCAAAGTCTTTCCAGGCCTGTAGGCTGGCTGGCCTTCTGCCTACATCATTATTGTGGCAGAGAGATCACTTCCTACGCTTTCTTTCCTTATAACTGTGCTCATCCCTTCTTTATGCCAAGGAGAATGCTCCTGGTCCCCACATTCAGCCTGGTAGGGAAAAAGCAAAGCAGGAAAACTCCACCCAGGCCTCCCATCGGGGTGCCCCCCTCTATGGGTCCATCCACCAAACCTGCTCTTAGCACAATCCATTCTCCCCGGTTACACCCAGACTTCCCCTGTTCCGTGGCCACATTAACCTCCATCAGATAATTAAGGGCTTGGCTTTCCATGAGAGACCTTAAATGTCACCTTTCTGCCACCCGATATGTCTCTGAATGACAGACTCTAATGAGATATTCAAATATAGAAAACTGAACGACTCTTTGCTTTCTCATCGTGGCATTTATTCAGCTGGAGTGATCTGACTACACCACTACATTACTTATAATTTCTACCTGATCTTGGTGGTGGAGTGTAATCTTTAAGGAAACTATCCGTTTAATCTCTCTTGCCTTATTAGCATTTAATTACTATGACAAATTTCCAGACGTACAAGGGATGTTAGGATTATAATTCAATTTTCCCCTCAAATGGCCCAGTAACCAAGGGCAGTGGAGCCATTTCTGGCACTGTCAAGTTCTGATCAAGGAAGTTGCCTGGACCTGGTGCAGGCTCCTGCCTGTCTGAGTGCTGAGCAGGGCTTATCCCAACCTCAGCTCCCCAGCTAATGGCAGAGCCTTCTGCCAGCCAGGACCCCTCACTCGTTCTCATTCTCTCTCTCTCTCTCTGTCTCTCTTTCAGTGGGCTGAGCCTTTTTACCCTGCTCAGGGTCAGGCCGAGGCCTGAGGCCAAGAAGAGGGTGTTTTATACACAGGAAGGGAGCAAATTCTCAGCTCTGAGAGCTGCATTGGCCAGTGGACGCCATAAGCCAACTGTTCTATGCAGATTTTCAGTCATTGAAGGACAGCAGATGGAAATAAGCCAGAGCCACCTTCAACTACTTTCACTCGTTTAAAAAGCCACATTCTGCTCTGTGTCACTGCTATTTTTCTGGGTCCCATTTTGACACCTCTTGCTTCTCTGAATCCCATAAATCACTGAGAAAGTCCTTCTTAGGGTCACCAGTCCTTCGATGTGGAGAATGAAGCAATTCCAAAGGGACCCTGCCTGGGGTCTGGGGAACTCGGGCTCTACAACTGACCCTACCTCTAACTGGCCATGCATCTTTGGAAGACTCTTATCATTTTCCCTGAGAACTATCACTCAAACAGGGCAGTAGAGCTGACATCTGGGTTTGACTTCATGACCTTGTCTCCTTGGCCAGAGCTCACGGGACTGCTGGGGCCCCTGACCAGAGCTGGGCAATTGGATTCTCCTTTTGGTCACTTGGGCTTGGGCCTGGGAGACCCCTGTCTGTCTGCTAGCTGCGCAAAATGAAGACACAGGAATGTGGGGCCCATGGAGCATAGATGTGGGCACGCAGACGATCGCTGCAAAGAGACCAATGAATGGCATCATTGTGCTGAGAGATGGAGATCTGAGAAGAAAATAACCCAGAGAGAGGCTGAAATAGGATCTGTTCAAGTGAATATTAAAATGGTAACCAATACCCAAGACAAAAATTGTGCACCTAATCAAATCAGTTCTTTCATTTGTCTGCATTGCCTTCTTCTCCCTTTTCCTGCTAATTTTTTACCTGTATGAATGCATGATGTAATAGATAGAACCTTTTCTTTTTTATTTAACATTATATCATGAATATTTTTCCATTTTTCTGTAGTCTTTTTTTTTTTTTTTTTTTTTTGAGGCAGGGTCTTGCTTTGCCACCCAGGCTGGAGTGCAGTGGTGCGATCTTGGCTCGCTGCAACCTCCACCTTCTGGGCTCAGGTGATCCTCTTTCTCAGCCTCCCGACTAGCTGGGACTGCAGGCGTGTGCCAACACTCCCAGCTAATTTTTTTTTTTGAGATGGAATCTTGCTTTGTCGCCCAGGCTGGAGTGCAGTGGCCGGATCTTGGCTCATTGCAACCTCCGCCTCCCAGGTTCAAGTGATTCTCTTGCTTCGGTCTCCCAAGTAGCTGGGATTATAGGCATGGACTGCCATGCCCAGCTAATTTTCATATTTTTAGTAGAGATGGGGTTTCACCATGTCGGCCAGGCTGGTCTCAAACTCCCGACCACAGGTGACCTGCCCACCTCGGCCTCCCAAAGTGCTGGGATTACAGGCGTGAGCCACTGCCCCTAGCCAAATTTTGGCATTTTTAGTACAGACCATGTTGGCCAGGCTAGTCTCAAACTCCTGACCTCAACTGATCCTCCCACCTCAGCCTCCCAAAGTGCTGGTGTTACAGGTGTGAGCCACTGTGCCCGGCCTATAGTTTTTGTATCTTATTTTTCCCCAATTCTTCTCCTTTTCCTACTTTCCCGTTCAGCCCCCTGATATAGTAACCAGTGACAGCCTGGTAGTATCCATTCACACCATTATCACACCATTCACATATAAATATATAAAAGCGTATGTGTATATATCTATATTTCTGTCTGTGTCTATATGTCTATAGATATAGATATAAAAATTTGGGGGCCATCATTTGTTTTTGCAAAAATGTAATAAAATGATTTTTCTGTGTTTTCTATTCAATTTGCCCTTAAATGATGCAAAACGTTCATTCCTTTGAAGGCAAATCTAATATTCTCTAGTTGGGAATCTCCAGAATGAGGTGTATACACTGTACCGGCACAAGGAAAACATATGAAAAATTTTATCTCTATTTATTTTGATCTCTTCTCTTTAAAATTTCTATTTTCTGTTTGTTTATCCTACACTTAAGGTATTCACACATGCAAATAAATATCCATCTTTTGGAAGTGCATGCTATCATCAAATGAGCAATCAGAAATGCTTAGAGACCACTAGTCTACAGAATCAGGGAACAACTTATTCACACATTTCCCTTTTGATGGATATCCAGGCTGTTCTTAGACGCTGCAGCAGGTACCACTACAAACTATGCTTTGACAAGCATTACTCTACACAGATATTTACATACTAGTGCTTTTTTATTTTTATTTATTTTATTTTTTTTGAGATGGAGTCTCGCTCTGTCGCCCAGGCTGGAGTGCAGTGGCGTGATCTCCACTCACTGCAACCTCCGCCTCCTGGATTCAAGCGATTCTCCTGCCTAGGCCTCCTGAGTAGCTGGGATTACAGGCACCCGCCAGCATGCCTGGCTAATTTCTGTATTTTTAGTAGAGACGGGGTTTCACCATATCAGGCTGGTCTCGAACTCCTGGCCTCGTGATCTGTCTGCCTTGGCCTCCCAAAGTGCTGGGATTGCAGACATGAGCCACCATGTCCGGCCGTGCTTTTTGTTCTATAGGACAGATTCCCAGAAGTACAATTCCTGATTCAAAGGGTTTGTCTAGTTTTAATTTTAACTGATATGGGTGGTCTGCTCTCCACATTGTCTGTAGCAATTCATGTCCCCGCCACCAGCAATGTATGAAACACTTATTTCCTGCATCTGTAAAGATTTTAAGAGTTATTACTCTTTTCAACTTTTGCCAATCTGATCAGAGGGGTGAGAAATGGCGTTCAGGCCACCTTCATGTATAAGCAAAGGCATCGGATCAGACAACCTCTAGGATTGTTCTAGCTCAAGTGTCCATATTTCTCAAATTATTTTTTTTCATAACTTATCTGTTAGCAGGTGTGTGCTTAGCCCCCATTCACTGACTGTTTGCAAATCCCAGAGACATCTTTGAAAAAATTGCCAGAAACCAACACATCAAGAACTGGAAAGAAAGAAAGTTGAATAGAGTCCAGAAAATCATCTTGCCAATACTGTTTAGCTTGTAAAAACCATCTAAGCCAAATCCCTGCGATTTCATCCAGAACAAATAATAAAAAAGCAGTGTGTAATATTTCTAAGATGAGCATATTCATAGTAAATATTTTAAGATCCATGGCTGCACAAAATGCATTTTCCTTGGAGGTTCACTTTTCAAATGGCTTCGTATTAAAAGTGCCATTTCAACAAATATTCATGGGGAAATTCATCGATGTGTTTTACCATTTATAGCTAAAATTTCAAAGGACTTAGGAAAAAAAGGTATGATGCATATCCTACCCTCTTCGGAGAAGTGGTGAAAAATACGTGCTATGCTTTGGTTTTCTCTGACTGTAAAACTCCCAGGCAAGTATCTACACTTTTCATTCCCACTCTTCTCTGGCTATTCCTGGGGTGGATGGCAGCCTGGTCAGAGGACAATCAGCAAGGACTAAGGGAGGAAGGGGAAGTGAGAGGTTAGGAAAGCCTAGGCGCCAAGCCTCTCCAAAGTCTCCGGAGCTCTTCCAACAGCTACCATCTGGTGAGCATTTAATGCACACACAGCAGCTTGACAGAAACACTCTATATTCTCTCACTGCAACCTCACTATCACCCTGTGAAGTAGTTATTATTATTATTGAGATGGAGTTTCGCTCTTGTAATCCAGGCTGGAGTGCAATGGTACAATCTCAGCTCACTGCAACCTCCACCTCCCAGGTTCAAGCGATTCTCCTGCCTCAGCCTCCTGAATAGCTGGGATTACACGCACCCCACTACCATGCCCAGCTACATTTTTTTGTATGTTTAGTAGAGACAGGGTTTCACCATGTTGGACAGGCTGGTCTCGAACTCCTGAACTCAGGTGATCCACCCGCCTTGGCCTACCAAAGTGCTGGGATTACAGGCATGAACCACCGCGCCTGGCCAATAGTTACCATTATTATCCTGTTTTGCAGATAAGAAAATGGGGCCTCAGAAAAGTCAAGCGATTTGTCCCTGAGGTCACACAACTAGTTAACAGGTAGAAAGGGGATGCAGACTCAGGACTATCTAGCTCCAACTTGCTATATTATTAGTCCCTCTGTGCCTCAGTTTCCCTTCTATAGCTTCCCCAGATCTCAAGGAGCCCACTGGGGCTGTAGAGATCGAAGGAAGTTTGGTATATGGTGCTAAATGCTTTCTTCATCTCCCCGGCCGCTTGGTCTCCGGTAAGCACGATTTGGCTGCCTGCTCTGGACATGAGGCATCCCACGGCCCCTGTGACATCATCCTTCTTGGCCCCTTTGCCTCCGGCAGGAAGCAAACCCCCACAGACAAAGAATTGAAAATCTGGTCACTTATTCCAGCCAATATTTCTCAGTCTTAGGTAGGCATATTCATTTTTATAATGGCAAGTTTTACCCTCGGTAATGATCAGATCCAATCCTTCTCTTGTTTGAGTTGCTGAAACCACTCACCATGGCCCAGGAGAATAAAACCCACAGGCTCCACTTGGCTTGGCACTCAAAGCCCTCTGCAACCTGCCCACATAACCATCATTTTGCATGGATGCAGTCTTGCATTGATGCTTCAGCCACTCCACATGGTACCTCTTCCACCTGCCTAGTATGTCTTTCTTCCCCTTCTCTGACTATTCAAATCTTAAATATCGTTCAAGGTCCAACTTGAATGAATCTGCCTCCTCCAGGGAGCATTCTCTGCTCTCCCAGGCTGAATGAATGGGCTTCTCCTCTGGAATCCCCACAGTTCCATTTCCACCATTCGGCTTCTAACCATCACTGGCATTTTTTCATATCTGCTTTTGCAACTGGCCTGTGAGCTCCTGTGGGGCAGTGGCAATGTTATTTACATCTGTTTCTACAGCACCAACTCATTATTTGGCTCAAAGTAATAATGACAGGCCAGGTGCAGTGGCTCACACCTGTAATCCCAGCACTTTGGGAGGCCAAGGCAGGCAGATCGATCACTTGAGGTCAGAAGTTTGTGACCAGCCTGG
Source organism: Homo sapiens (assembly GCF_000001405.40). Taxonomy (NCBI): domain Eukaryota; kingdom Metazoa; phylum Chordata; class Mammalia; order Primates; family Hominidae; genus Homo; species Homo sapiens. The sequence goes on from NC_000017.11 coordinate 6,136,936, forward strand.
CCAACATGGTGAAATCCTGTCTCTACTAAAAATACAAAAAAAATTAGCCAGGTGTGGTGGCACACACCTGTAATCCCAGCTACTTGGGAGACTGAAGCAGGAGAATTGCTTGAATCCGGGCAGTGGAGGTTGCAGTGAGCTGAGATCGTGCTTTTGCACCCCAGAGTGGGCGACAGAGAGAGACTCCATCTCAAAAAAAAAAAAAAAAAAAAAAAAAAAAAAGGAATAGTGGCAATGACAACATCAATGGTAATAGGGTAATAGTTGCTATATTTATGGGGGGGTTAAAACATGACTTTGTTTAATCCTCAGACAATCTTATGAGGCAGGTACTATATTTACTCCTATTTAACAGGTAAGGAAAGGGGATTCAGAGAGGCCACGTGGAAATGGTGAAGCTGGGATTTGAGCCCAGGCTGCCTTGTTCCTCAGGTAACCACTCTGACCCACTGGCTTCTAAAGGTGCTCAGTAAATGTTTGTTGAATTAAAAAGCAAATGCATTCATGAACAAATGAGTAATAAGGAAAAAAAAGTCAGGCAACAGAGAAAAATCATCCACTCCATTGATGAAAGCAAGGCATTTCCTAGAACTCAAGCAATGATAGTGAGCATTCTCTTCCATCATCCAATCATTGCCCTCCCCTTGTTGGGGAAATCTCATGAACACATTTCACCAATGGGTGTCATTCCAAACCTACTCCTGAGGGATATGGAGGAGAATGTCTCATCCTTTTTAGTCCAGGACAATGCTTTGACTAACGTTCAGGAGGACAGGACCTTAGAGCTGTGCCCAGGCCAACAGGGATGAGTGGCTTGGGCTCATTATACTCCCAACATGATCTTCCTGGGACAAATATTGGTTCTAAGGCTGCTGCCCAGTATCAGAGAGCTGTACAGGCTGGAAATGTTTGGGGAGCAGAAGAAAGCCAGGTGCAATGTAGGAAACAGGAGAAAGGGCAGATGGTGAGCAGGCCACGTCCGTTTGGAGGCCAGGCTGCAGCTGCGGGAACCACAGGTGCTGGCAGAACTGAGGTTGCTGGTGCAGAAGGGAGGGGCCGCATCACCTGGGGCTTGGCCAGGGCCAACATGGAGACAGGGACTTGGCCCACCTGCCTGCTGGTGGTCACCTGTCTTGCTGGTGCTCAGAAGGAGGGGGCAAGCCCTGGAGCTTTCCCTGTCCTCCCTCCTCTGCACTTGCCCCACACAGGGAGAATTCTGGAGATAACACAGATACTCAGTGGCAGCTGAGTCATTCATGCACATATACATGTGCACAGCACATATAAACACACTTTCACACGTACATACGCACACATGCATACATGTACGTACACATGTGCAAACATAAACATGCATACACATGCTTCTGGTCTCACACATAAACACACACTTATACACGTGTGAACACACTTTCTCACACACGCACACAAACACATACGCTCATATGTACACACATTCACACATATACTCAATCACACATGCACACACACCCTTTTGGTCTCACACATAAACGCATACACACACATACCAGGCTCAGAAAATTTGTCAGGCTTCCAAGCACTTCAAAGCACAAGTCAATTGATGGATCTTGTTTCTGGAAAGAAATCAGCATGTCCTAAAGGCCTGGGAGCTGGATTCTTCCTTCTGAGATCTGAGAGCCGACATTAGCTCCTCAATCTCCATGTACATCCTTAATGGGTTTCTGGCCTTGTACACAATAGGAAAGTGGGCTTTGGGGCCAGGTGTCAGTCAGGGGCCAGAGAACAGAATTGCATGGCCAAAAGGAACACAAAGAAAGGAAAAAGGCCTTTCATGTGGAGGATTTAATTTCCAGTTAGGAAGATTGAAATAATTTTATACAGTGGTTTTGAAAACACATGAAAGAGTTTTCCTTTCTGAATTTGAGAGGCAGCTCTGGAGACTGTCACTGCCTCCTGGGTGCCCGAGAATCTGGTTCTCTTTCCAGATTTGCTGTGAACCAGTGCAGTCTCTGCCAGAACCTCAAGGGACAGCATGCCAGACGTTCCATTCAATTCAACTGAGTCCATCCATCCATTCATCCATCCAACTAACCATTCTTTGGACACCCAGCCTTCAACATTCATTCATTTCAACACCCAGCCTTCATCATTCATTCATGTAGTTCAGATCTCCTATCACCTGCTACGCACCTGCCTTTGGCCTGGCCTTGGGGTCCAGGTCCCTTGAAAGGACTTCCAGCTGTCCTCTTGATTATGGAAAGGATGGGATGCTGGTTACAGGGACTTATTCTTTTCTAATTCAAATGCAAAACAGAGGATAAACCCTCTCAGGTGTGAAACTCCCTTGGCTCCAGAACAATGCAGCAGTTAGTCCTGGGCCTGGCCCATGCCAGGTTCCCAGGAAAGCCCTGCTGATTCAGGATAACTGCTACCACCTGTTTCAATGCCCTTGAAGCTCTCCACACTTTTTATCTTTGAAAGTATTTCATTTAGGTTTCATAATGGAAGCAAGGCTGAATGATTATGTAACGGTGCTTTCTGCGACAAGTTTATGAGTATATTTTGAAGGCAGCAAACGTATGCCTATTAAGCATGGGGAGAATTATCAGTGAATGTTTTTAAATGACCAATAAAAATGAAATTATCATTGCTCATTGTTTTTTATGGATCATAATGTGTTTTTCTCTTATGGAAATATCCAAAAACTCCCCTCTTAGTCACCGGCCGCTAATTACATAGTTAGCACACAGTAATCCATGTAAGTGGGTTCTCGCCTGTCGTAATTCGTCTTCATAAATGTAATTGGCCCAATGAAACAGACCACAAAATAATTCTGCAGAGAGGAGATGGATTCAATAAAAACTGATTTTACTTTTCTTTTTCCAAAACTACAAACTTGGAATAGGAGTTTTTAAGAACATATAACTGTTTTTCCCCAGATTGCCACTCCTACCTCAATTTGTTTGTTATTCAACTATTTATTGATTTATTGAGGACCTGCTCTATTCAAATCATTGGCTCAATACTGGGGTTAAGTCAAAACTTGAAAGAAATTCCCGGCTGCAGGGAACTGGCCATCAAGTGAGGAAGTCTCCAAGCAGCAGGCAGAAACCATGGTGATGCAAGGTGGGTAGTAGTACATGCTCCAGAAGAGATTTGGAGAAAGGGCTAAAGGTGTTCAGAGGCAAAGTGGTTGCTTCCTCCTGGAAAATCAGGAAAGGCTTCATGGAAGAAGTGGTATTTGAGCTGAACTTTGAATGATGAAGGAAGGTGGAGCTAAGGCAACGGAGGTATGTTTGGTTAGATTAACCTGACAGTGATTATAGTGGAGTGCCGGCAGGTGAAAGGTAAGGGGAGATGGAGTGGAAAGGTAGGTGGATGGTTGTTATAGATGGAGAAGCACATTTTATACTTTTCAGCTCAAAGCTGTGCCCCCTCCCCTCTGCATATGCAATAAATAAATATTTATTAATATTAATATTATATTTAATATTTATCAATAGCAATATTATAAATATTATATAATAATATATTATATTAATAAATATTATATGTAATATTTTATATGAATTATACAAAATTAAAAATATGTAAATAAGAATAAAATATGTAAATATTACATAAATATAAATATTTACATAAACTATAAAATTATTTTATATATTTTTATGTAATTTTATATTATTTTATATTTTAAATTATATATATTAAAAATAATATAAAATTACATAAATATATAAAATAATATATCAATGATATGAATAATATGAAAATATATAAATATAAATATTTGCATTAATATATAAATATTATATATGTAGAATATTATATAGAGAGACTAATCCAATATAATATATATTGGATATAACTGGACACAATCAATACAGCATACCTACTGCTTGCCAGGTCCTGTGCCGGGGCTGGCTGGGTAGGAGACTTAGATGATTTAACACAAAGCCTACCCTCAGAAACTCAGAAGGGAGGTGGAAATGATGATGCGGTCAATACTGGCTTGAGCCTGTATCTCCATTTATTATTGTGAGATGGGGCGGTGGGGAGTGTCACTGTTCAAATGGGAGTGTCACTCTTCAAATATGGCAGTTTGTCCCAGACGAGCTCACTCTCCATATTCCATATTACAGCAGGCATTGTTAGTGTGAGGCTCTAGTTGCTTCCAAAGCAAAATATTTTTGGACCATTTACTGCCAAACGCTTCTTTTCTCTAGCTCAGTCGCCAACATTTTCCTCCTTGAAAATTTGAATGAGCCTCGAAAAGACACCGAGAAGAAATTCAGGGAGATAGGAGGAAAATGCAAATAAGAATTACAAGACAGAATTCAAGAGGATTGGGACTTTCAGGGAGGACATGATTGACAGTGTCACAGGCTACAGATGATCAAAGTAAGAGAAGGTCCCGTAAGCGTCCATTGGATTTAGCCTGGAAGAAATCACTGATGACCGGGTGAGAGCCAGGGAGCAGAGGTCAGAAGGCAGTAGGGTGAGGAGGGAGCTGGCCTGGGGTGGCTGGAGTTGCATAGGTGGTGCACGGATCTAGTCAACCTCCTCCACCCACACCTCCGCTTAGCTTGTGTGGTCTCTCCTCTCATCAGCAGACCTAATAGCACTCAGGAAATTATGTCTTTCTGCATGATTACAGAGTACATTATGTGCTACTGTGACACTTTTGCATTGCAGGATGTTTGTAGTGCCTTGGGATGACTCTACTGTGGTGGCTCTTGCCCTTTGTTTCGTGGGATTAAAACCCCGACTCAGTCACCTAGATGTAGCACGGATTCTCCCCCTTCTGTCTCCACCTCCAGCTCCTGCTTATCATCTCACTTATCCGTTTCCTCCTCTTTACCCCTATGGTTTCTTAGTGATAGACTGAATTTTTGTTTCCAACTCTTCACTACTTTGTAATAGAATTTTACTTGTACGCCGTTTCCATGGCCTCATGATCTATACAGTATACTTCCCCACTTCTTTACTTTTGAGTTGAAAATACGACTTGTTTGGGCTGACAATATGACTTGTTTGGTTCAATGAGATGTTAGTGAATGTGATGTAATCAGAGGCTTGAAATGTTCTGGTGCAATTTTTTTTTTCTTTCTGCACTGCAATGACCCACCGTGAAAAGTTCAGGTGCCAGGTAGATGCTGCCACCTCAGACTGCACCCCAAAAGAAACATGTAAAATGGACCTGAAGCTATCCTGTATCCTAGAGCCATGTCCAGTCAACCTGTAGCCTGAAGCAAAGCCACCCAGCTGAGACCAGTCTAGGTCAGCCATACTGTAATCAGCCTGCAAACCCATGATTATGAAAATAAATACTATTTTAAGCCACTGAATTTGGGGTTGGTTTGTTATGCAGCATTAGCATGATATCAGTACTGATCCTGACTTTGACCTAAGCACTCATGCTTGCTAGTTCAAATTCTCTACTCCATTCCTTTAAGCCCATCTTCCAGAGAGACTGTTAGACAACCTCAATCATCATTATAAACAAGGAAGACTGCCCTTTCAGGATTTTTCAATATTTCTTCCAGAATGTTTATTCCTTCATTTATTCATTTTTTTCAAACATTCAACAAATGACTACTTGTACTAAGCCTTAGGAAGGGCACTCGGGGGGAAAAATGGGTAACTATAATTTGAAACAAGACACATTCCATCTCTTTAAGTGAGTGCAAAAGAAGTGTGTGTAAATAATTACATCCCAAGGTGCCTGCTGTATTTCTTATCCTAAAGCAAACCAAGTGGAGGTAAAATCATCATTCTTGAAAATGCCCTTGTTTATACTTAAAGGCAATTATCTGTGGGTATTTAAAAATAAAATCTATAGTAATTACAAGCTTGCCTTTTTCTATTTCACATATCACATGAGCCAGTGAAGAAGCGGGATGCAAGACAGTCTTACCATATGTCAATATCAAATACGTTTTCTTTTAAAGCGTGCTTTGCGCATCCTTCTGGAAGATGGGGAATGAAATGCTGTAAACAGGCAGAAATGATTCACGGGATCATGATTGCTTTTCATCAGCTGCATCAATTATACACAGCAATGGGACTTGGTGAAATACATTTACAACTTGTTAAAAACACTCCTTGAAACAATTCAGACCTTGTTAAGTCCTGGTGTGCTCAGCCAAGCATAGCTGGGCTGGCCGTCAGCAGAACTTAGTCTGAGCTGAACAAGTCCAAGCTGTCTTTGGCCAAGAGGAATGGCATGCCAGGGTGGAGATTCCTTCTGACCTCTCCTTCCATTGTCATGAGATGTAGCTATAGGATGGGTTCAGATTTTTGTTAGGCTATCAATAAAGCATCCAAGCAGCCATCAAGCCAATTAACCATACTACGCCAGGGAACAGGGGTACAGGGACAGAAGTAAAACAATAAATACACGGTCCTGCCCTCAGGTTGCTTACGGTCTCATAAAAAATAAAGATAAACATGCCATCCATCTCTAGCTCCTCCATCTACTATGTAATCTTAAAAAAATAAGTACTTAACTTCCCTGTTTCTCAAGTCCGTCATCCACAAAATTACATTAATAATAATAGCTACAGCCTAGGACTGTTGTGAGAATTAAATACATTAATACATGTCACGGCAGACACAGCTAGTTGCCTACCCAATATCCATGGATTCCACTGGGCTGGCAATGCACCCTGGGAAAGTGCTCACCTTCCTAGACTCCCCTGCTGCGATGGATGGCCACATGTCTCAGTTCTGGTCAATGAGAAGTAGATGGAACTGGCCAGGCACCGTGGCTCACTCCTGTAATTCCAGCATTTTGGGAGACTGAGGCGGGCAGATCACTTGAGGTCAGGAGTTCGAGACCAGCCTGGCCAACGTGGTGAAACCCTGTCTCTACTAAAAATCCAAAAAAAAAAAAAAGAAAAAAAAATTAGCTGGGATCCCAGCTACTTGGGAGGCTGAGGCAGGAGAATTGCTTGAACCCGGAAGGCAGAGGTTGCAGTGAGCCGAGGTCACGCCATTGCATTCCAGACTGGGTGACAAGAGCGAAACTCCATCTCAAAAAAAAAAAAAAAAAAAAGAAGTAGATGGAACTCTTGGTTAAGGCATCCCTTCCTGAATAAAAGAACAAAGCTTCACTTCTTTAAAATACTTGCCAGAAAAAATATAATGGAAGAGCCAGCCAACTTCAGACCATGAGGGAGAAACCACATGCTTGGGATGATGGAGCAGGAAGCTGGAACGAACTTGGCTTCCAAATGACATCCTTGCGCACCTGAATAAACTCTGTTCTACTGACTTCCAGACTCCTTGTCAGGGGAGGAAGAGTTTTTGCTTCAGCCACTTTCTTGCTTAAGCCACTCTTCGGCAGGGGGAGTGAGGGTGGTTCTGTACTATGCAGTTGAACCTATTCCCAACTGACAATAAGTAAGGTGCCTGGTATTCAGAAAGAATTTAATAAATGCCATTGGTAATGCTGATTTTGTGGCCATGCAGCGTGAATGGGGAAAACAAGGAACTGTCGGACCACACAGGAGAGGTTATTTATTTATTTTATTTATTTATTTTTGAGACGGAGTCTTGGTCTGTTGCCCAGGCTGGAGTGCAGTGGCGTGATCTTGGCTCACCACAAACTCTGCCTCCCGGGTTCAAGCGATTCTCCTGCCTCAGCCTCCCGAGTAGCTGGGACTACAGGTGCACACCACCATGTCTGGCTAATTTTTGTGTTTTTAGCAGAGACAGGTTTCACTAAGTTGGTCAGGCTGGTCTCGAACTCCGGACCTCGCGATCTGCCCACCTCGGCCTCCCAAAGTGTTGGGATTACAGGCATGAGCCACCGTGCCTGGCCGGAGAGGTTCTAATCCATACCAGATGGAAACTTCTTGGAGAAAGAGACATCCAAGCAGAGACCTGGAAGGTCGGGTGGGGATGCTGCCAATTCTAATTGTTGGCATTGTTCCCTCTTTTTTTTTTCCACGGTTCTCTCATTCCATGGAACCTCTACCTGGGATGGCTCAACAGGCTCTGAGCAGACCTTCTACCTGCAGTCTAGCCCAGACCATCTTCCATTCTTGTTTCCAGGGAAATCTTCCTAAAACAGACCTGATCTTATCACACTCCCAGATGAAAACCTCCTGAGAGAGATCCCTCACCTACACAGAGGTTCTCAATGTTTCCATCAAAGGGCCATAAGCGACAAACCTGTACCTCCAAGGAAGCTGTGGCAAGGCCTGAAAATGTATTTGAACTTCTCTAATTCAATTCCAAAAAATGATGTCATGTTTTGTGTTTATTTTGTAATATATTCTTGCTGGTTTTAATATGAAACAGTTTTAACGTCCTAATGGGCTTAACTCATGTTCTAGGAAGACATGCCACATTGAGCCAGTGGTTCTGAATACACCCTTGCATACTGCTCTATACATGAGAGAGACACAGGACTCCCCAAGCAGGCATCAGGATGGCACTTACTTAGCATCTCATGATACTTTCTTGCCTTTCTACATGCCAGCCCTTCCTCACTGAATATCCTCCTTCCCTGGCTGTCTGGCCAACTCCTGGGTATGCTTTCATGTTGCGGCACCCACCATGTCCTAGTTTGAGCAGTGGTTAAAGAGTTTTCAATCTCTGATTAAATTGTGAATCTTCTGAGGGCAAAGGCTAAATCTGATTCATGACTGAAAGTTTTCCATTTACTGTTGTATAATAAATTACCCCCAAACCTACAGACTTTAAAAAACAATTATTTTATTTTGCTCACAATTATGTGGGTCAAGAATTCAGAAAGGAGCCGGGCATGGTGGCTCACGCCTGTAATCCCAGCACTTTGGGAGGCCAAAATGGGTGGATCTCCTGAGGTGAGGAGTTTGAGACCAGCCTGACCAACACGGTGAAACCCTGTCTCTACTAGACACAAAAAATTAGCTGGGTGTGGTGGCGCATGCCTGTAATCCAAGCTACTTGGGAGGCTGAGGCAGGGGAATTGCTTGAACCTGGGAGGCAGAGGTTGCAGTGAGCTGAGATTGTGCCATTGCACTCCAGCCTGGGCAACAAGAGCAAAACTCCATCTCAAAAAAAAAAAAAAAAAAAGAAGAATTCAGAAAGGGCTCAGCTGAGCATTGTCCCATACAGTTTGCAGTCACACATCAGCTGGGGCTGCAGTCATCTGAAGGCCCGACTGGGCTGGAAAGTCCCAGATAGCTCCTGCCTATGGCGGCAGGCAGTGAGTGCTCGCTGTCACCAGGGGGCTCAGGAGATGCTGTTCATTGGAGCATCTCTGAGCAGCCTCTCTAGTCAGATTTCCTAAGGTAGCTGGCAGAGCACGTGTCCAGAGCAAGTGTTAAAAGAGAACCAGGTGAAAGCTGCATGGTCTTCTCAGATCCAGCCTCAGGAGCCATGCAGTGTTATATCCAACCATATCCTATTGATGGCAAATGAATCAAAGGCCAACACAGAATCAAGGAGTGGGGAGGAATAGACTCCACCTCTTGATGGGGTCACATGACAGAAGAGCAGGTGGGATGGAAGCTATTGTTGCAATTCTCTTTGGAAAATACTTTCTGCCATAGTAAGCAGCTCAGCCTTTAGCTCAGTGTATGGAGAATGAATGAGATCAAGTGTTCTGAGGGCTGCCACCATTCCCAGAATAAGATTTTCACATGGAAGGGAAATGAAATCACTCTCTCTCCTTTCCAAAACTTTCTTCTTCTTTAGGACTCTCTCTGCCTCTCCCTACCCTCTCTCATTGAGGCCAAGAGATGAGAAAGAGTAAGAGAGGGATTGATGGAAGAAGGATTAGAAGATTTCCAACTCTTGAGAAGGAGATAAATAAATTCCTCTACCTTGATATTTCCCACTACCACCAAGCTTCAGTTTTTCTTTTCTACCCCAAATTAGGAAATGAAGTCGTTGGTATTTGTTTTGAGCACAGATGAATGGCCAGTAAAAGAAATGCAAATCAAGCTTGGTATTCCATCTTTCCCCACTGGAACCATTTATGTCCCCCATTTCCTCGGGGCCTCAGCCTGCCCATCTCCATTAGAACATAGAGGACTTTTGGCTAGCCCATCCCTTAGAGAGTCTCCTGCAATTAAATTCTATAATTTCATACCAGCCACCCCCAGCCAACCTAGTACAGCCTCTCCTGGGGAGACGCAGCCTGTCGTTCAGAGAACTCTCCTTCTCCAAAATCTAATTTCCCCTCATTTCCCATTATGAGTTCAGTTATGGGAGCCTTCATAGCAGGTGTCATTAAATAGACATTAAGACCCAACAAGGCATGTTTTACAGGACCATTACCACATGCCTGACGTTTGCTGTGACAAATGGAGATCCAGCCAACCACGCCATGTGATAATGGGCCTGGAAACACCCCCTGCGGTGAGGTAATGTGATTAGAAGATGAGGCTGTCATTGTTTAATGCCATCCATCGGAAGGGGACTGACTCCTCTTTGCTGACTCGCCTGGAAGTCAGGCTTCACCCTCTTCTTCCTGGGTCTATCAGGCTCCTGAGCCAGGAGAGAAGGGGACCACTGTCTGGCCAGCATGGCAAGCTTGATCATGTTCCAAGAACTTTGCATTGTGATGTAAGGACCAAGGGCTATGCTGCCTCAGTTTCCCCCAAGATGATAGGTCTCTGGCAGCCAGAGGCAGAACAGTAAAAGTGAGATGAGCTTATTTATCATTCTGATCATCTGAGTAGGAAGTCAGCCCTTTCCAGCCTCAGAGAACTCACCTTATTTCCCTTCACATCATTTTAGATACCCAGACTCCCAGGTGACCAGGCATCGCTAAAATACTCTTTTAGCTGGAGCTCTCTGTGACCTGGAGGCAGCTTGCATGAGGAGCAAGCATGAGTTTGGGTTCTGCCTTCCTTGGGTGTGAATCCCAGCTCAGCCGTTTGATCTCACTAATACTCCTTCCCATCTTCCTCGCAAAGATATTATAAGGATTACATGAGATGACTTACATGAAATATTTAGCACAGGGCCTAATTTAGCAAATCCTAAATTAGGGTTTTCCCAACCCTCCCCATTTCTTTTTATTCTGGGCTTCTAGTCCTTGGCCTTTTAGGAAGGTAAGGGTCTGGGATCTAGCATCTGGTTGATCCTGCGGCTCCCTGAGGACTGGAGATACTCAAAGCCAGGCTTGCTCGGTTTATGACAGTTACAACCTCAGACACTGCACTTTCCAGAATCTCCACTGTCTGCCTCCTCTGAAACATACCTCATTGACAAAACAGTGCTGAGGACAGTCCTCAAACCTGCCCACCTGCTGACTGAGCAAGCCTCTCACTCCTCCCACTGAGATGTCCAGCTCCCAACCAGATGCCCTACTTGACCCCAAAGCCCTTGATTCTTGGATAAACATTCACTCAGTACTGCCCCCCACAAAGTGTCTAGCCTCCCAATGTGTCTAGACCCCCAATGTGTCTAGACCCTCCACTGGCCCCCTACACGTCCTGCCCTCCTGTCTGCTCTGCAGTCTCTTCCCTTGTTTATCTTCATGCTTGCTCTAGTCCTTGCCCCTGGCTGCTTCCCAGCACTCAGATTTCCCCTGTCCTGAAGGAATCCTTCCTCAACCAACTCCCATCCCCCTGCCTTCACTGCCTCCACTTCCTCTCACCCAATTTACTCCTCCATTCCTCAAAATCTCGGTTCCACCCCCACCACTGCACTTAAATTGCTTTCTCTATCTTGCTCCAATATCCAATTAGCAGGGTGAATTGCCTTTTCTGTGCTCTCATCCATCCCCACACTTCAGCAATGGTTGAGAGCACCAATTGCCCCCAGTGCTTTTTGATTCTAGGTCACTAAGGTCTGGTCCTTGCCCCACCTCTCTTCATGGGCTGCCTCTGCTCCCTGCACCAGCTTCTCTTCTTCCATATTTCTATTCTCATAGCTTCTCCCTCCCTTCTCTAAACTCCCGCTTACTACATACACCCATTCTCATGGACTTGGCCATCATTTCAGGCTGCTGACTTCTCTATCCTCTTGCCACCCCCAGCCTCCTTCTCTAACTCCAATCTCATGTTCCCAGCGACCTGCAGAAACAGGTGTCTCACTGGGATCCCAGAGTCTGGATGTCCCACATCCCCTTTCTTCTCAAAAACCTGCTCCTCCTCCTAGACCGCATCTCCATGATGACACCACCAGTGCTTTGCTCTGTTTCCCAAATGCTTCCTCCCTCCCTCTCGCCATGCCCACTTCTAATTCATGGTCCAGAAGCCCTCTCAAACCACCTCCTCCCTGGTTCCTCTCCTTCCCAGCCCATCCCACCTGATGGGGGAAGATGCCAAGATGGCCTCTTGGTCTTCCATTCCTCCGTTCCTCCTCTATATTCTTCTACGGAGGCTTCCATTGTAAACATCTTTCTTCTGTGCTCTGTTCTGAGCCCCTCCATGTGGTGATGGGGCAGAGCAGTCACCACCTTCCAGGGGGATGAACCTCATCCATTGCCTTGCCTTTGGGCATTTTCCAAGTTTGTCCAGCCTCACCTTTCCAAACTCCCCTCAGACCAGAACCCACTGCAGAGACAGAGTATTCCAGTGCCTCCCCTCAGCCTCCCAGAAGGTCCTCCCACCTATCTTGTCAACGCTATCTTGCCTTTCTTGTTCTGGAACTTTCCGGGTCTTGCCATACCACTCACCCAGGTCCTCAAAAGAGCCAAGCCCATGCCAACCTCAGGGCCTTTTCACAGGCTGTCCTCTTTCTTGAGATTCCCCCTGTCCACTCACCACCCATTCTTCATGTGGCTGACTGACATTTCTCTTCCTCAGCCAGGGTCTCCCAACCTAAATTAGGACCTGTCCTTCATTTTCCGCCGTAGCACCAGATTTCTGCCTTCAACTTACATTATATGTGCATGTGTTTTGTTTACTTACTGCCAGCCTCTCCCACTTGACTGTAAGTTCAACAAGGTCAAGGACAAGTTCATGTTCATGCTGGAATCCCAGAGCCTAGTGCAGTGCCTGGAACACAGTACTCATTCCAGAAATGTTTGATGAATGAATGAAGTAGAGAATGGGAGAAACTCTCATTGGTTGACCCCAACTGCACCATTTTAGGCAGAGGATTTTTGTTTCTATGGAATTTACCAGAATTTCACCCCCCAGACGCTGGAGAGAGATGATGCGTATTCAAATCCCACTGCTACTACTCATCATCTAGATGACCTGGAGCAGCTTGACCTTCCTCTTGACCAACCCTCTGTTTATACCTATAAAATAGGAGTAATAATGGCATTTAATTCACAGGTTGTTCACAAGGATCAACTGATAGATGTAAAGTGCTTAGCATAATGCCTGGGACATGGTGAGTGGAGTCATTGCCACCATTTCCCCATACTTTGTGGGAAGAACTGATAGACACAGCAGGTGGGATGGGCTGGGAGGGAGAGGAACTGAGGAGGAGGTGGTTTGGGAAGGCTTCTGGACCATGAATTAGAAGTGGGTGTGGAGAGAGGGAGGGAGGAGGCATTTGGGAAACAGAGCAAAGTAGGTAACGAAAAAGAGGGAAGTTTGGAGCTGCCATTAAGTCTGAGACTCTTGCAGACCACAAGCACCTGTGGTATTATTTGCTGCTCTACTGTGGCCATGAGAGATTTTTGGTTTTGTTCTTTTTTCTCCTTATAATTTTTTTTAAATGGAGAAAATATTCACATAACTTAAAATCAACCATTTTAAAGTGTATAATTCACTGGCGTTTAGTACCTTTCACAATATTATGCAACCAACACCTCTATCTAGTTTTAAAACACTTTCATCATCCCAAAAGGAAACTCCATGTCAATTAAGCAGTGAGAAATTATATTCAAAACTTTTTGTTTTGATATAATTTTAGATTTACAGAAGAGTTGAAAGTTAGCATAGCTTCACCAAGCTTTTCTAATGTTAATAATTTCTTGCATAATCTGGGTCCATTTGTCAAAACCGAGGTATTAACACGGGCACAATGCTATCAACTAAACTACAGACTTTTATTTGGGTTTCCCCTATGTCTCCACGCATGTCCTCTTCTGTTGCACAATTGAATCCAGGAAACCAACATTGCTTTTGGAGAGATTACTTTGGAAACCTAAAGAGTCAAAATCAAGTCCACAATTCCTTGAGCCTGGGATCCATTGCTAGTGCAGGTTTTGCATTATTGCCTTCCTGAGGTTCCATGTGACTAACCCTGACCCAGAGGAGAGGTTTCCATTGTGCTCATGGGCTGTGAATCCATGAATCACCAAGACCCCAGAGCAGATCAGAGCATGGCATGTTCTCTAAGAATCGCACCTTATTCAGAGTCTCTAGCATGGCCAGCGTTTCCCCTGAGCTGCCTCCTGAGGCACCTTCCAGTCTCTGCTTCTCTCTCTTCCTCGGAGTCTCAGTCTGGAGAGGTGAGGTTATGCATCCTGGAAATCTCAGTGGCTTAGAAACACCGAGGTGCCCATCTCATTCATGCACCCTGTCTATGGGGACCCATCTTGCTCCACACCCTCTTCCCTTGAGACTCAAGCTCATGGGCCAGCCACTTTCTGGATCACTGCATGTTTGAAAGACAGCTCTTGAGGTGCTTACACCAGCATCTGCACATTCCAGCCTCAAACTGAAGCCTGTCATGTCTGTTCAAACTCATTGGCTGGAACCAGTCACACAGCTGCACCCAATCAAAAGGAATCAGGGGGTGTGACCCTCTCATGTGCTCAGAAGCAGAGGAAGAGAGTTGGATTGTTGAGCAAACGCCTTGATGACTACAGCTCTCAAAGATGGTATTGAAAGGCAGGCCTGAAAACCTGCCTCCCCAAAGGCAGACTGGGCGACTTCAGGCTCTGAGAAGACCGTGTGCCTACTGGGGTTTCAGGACAAACATGGGTAGGCAGGAGGGAGGAAGCAGGGCCAGCACAAAGATAAGGAAACCATGCCAGCTCCTAGCCTCAGATGCTCAGCCTGAAGCAAGCAACCATAAACAGAACCAAATCATCAGGACCCAAAGCACTGAAAAAAACCATGAGGCATTCTATCATTCCACCAAGATGAGGTGGAGCCATACCATTCACGCAATTTCATCTGCACATCCCTATCACATGCCTCCTGGAATCATCTAAGATTTACTGAGAACATATCATGTTTGTTTTTGTTTTTGTTTTTGACAGAGTCTTGCTCTGTCACCCAGGCTGGAGTGCAGTGGCGTGATCTTGGCTCACTGCAACCTCTGCCTCCCAGGTTCAAGCGATTCTCCTGCCTCAGCCTCCTGAGTAGCTGGAACTACAGGCGTCCACCGCCATCCCCACCTAAGTTTTGTTCTTTTAGTAGAGACAGGGTTTCACCATGTTGGCCAGGATGGTCTCCATCTCCTGACCTCGTGATCCACCCACCTCCGCCTCCCAAAGTGCTGGGATTACAGGCATGAGCCACCGTGCCTGGCCGGTTCTTTTACATTTATAATCTCATTCAGCGATGTTGGCATTAGTATCTGTAGTGGGCTGAATGGTGATCCCTAGAAAGATTTGTCTACATCCTAACCCCTAGAACATGTGAACATGATCTTATTTGGCAAAAAAAAAAAAAAAAAAAGTCTTAGTGGATACAATGAAATTAAGGATCTCAACTTAATATGAGATCCTCCTGGATTAGCCCCTAAACCCAATGACAAGTGTCCTTATAGGAGACAGAAGAAGAGAAGACACCAGCACACAGAGAAGAAGTCCCTGTAAAGACAAAGGTAGAGATGGAGTTATGCAGCTATAAGCCAAGGAACACCTGAAGCGTCAGAAGCTGGAAGAGGCCAGGAATGAACCCTTCTCTAGAGCCTCCAGAAGGAATGTGGCCCTGAAGACACCTTGGTTTTGGACTTCTGGACTTCTGGCTTCCAGAACCATGAGAGTAAATTGTTGTTGCCCTAAGCCACCATGTTTGTGGTAATTTGTATGGGAGCCATAGAAAACCAATACAGAATCCTTCATACATAGTTGAGGAAGCTGAATCTCAGAACAGTTGGGCAATTTCTCACAGTCATACTGATAATAAGTGTCAGAGCCAGGTCTTGAACTTGATTGGAGTGGCTTCAAAGTCTGAGCTCTTAAAGACAGTGCAGGGAAGAGCTGACAGCTACATACTGGAGCTAGGCTGCCTGGGTTCTAATCCCAGCTCTGCCATTCGTGAACTGTGTGTTTTGGGGCCAATTGCTTAATCTTTCAAGCCTTAGTTTCTTCCTCTATAAAATAGGGCTGCCAAAAAGAGTCCTTTCTCTGCAAATTTATTTTGGAATTGAAAGGAGTGGATGAGTGAAGGTATGAAAAGTGCTGAGAACCCGACTTTGAACACAGGAAGCACTAGAAAAGCATTTTGTATAACCATACATCTGCAGAATATTTGCTTGCCATGATTCTCCTAATCATATGCTATGGCCCATTCATTCCCCTTAGTCCAGGGCTTCCCAATTTCAACACTAATGATGTTTTGGAACTGATAATTCTTGGTTTCCGGGGCTGTCCTGGGCTCTGAAGATTTAGCATTCCTGGCCCCTACTCATTTGATGTCAGTAGCAATCCCTCCTCCTGAGTCTTGACAATTGGTCTGTAGACATTGCCAATGTCCTACGGGGGGCAAAATTGCCTTCCGTTGAGAACCACTGCCCTTGGCCTCGCAAAGCCAGGCCTTTAGGATGGAAGTCTCTTTACTGAGCAGCCTGGCTTGCAGCTGGGTCTTGGAAGCAGATCCGGTTTTCATGCCAGAAGTTGTGGAACTGTCAGGCAGATGACTGTTCACAAAGGGCTGAGCTATCCCCAGTCCCCAAGGACTCAGCACACTGAGTGAAGGGACGTCAGTGCTGGGGACACAGCTGGTAAAGTTCTGGCTCTATTATTTGACGTTTCTGAGCCTTCAGAGAAAATTTTTGCAATCTATCCATCTGACAAAGGTCTAACATCCAGAATCTACAAGGAACTTAAACAAACTTACAAGAAAAAACAACCCCATCAAAAAGTGGGCAATGTATACGAACAGACACTTCTCAAAAGAAGATATTCATGCAGCCAACAAACATATGAAAAAAAGCTCATCATCCCTGGTAGTTAGAAAAATGCAAATCAAAACCACAATGAGATACCATCTCACGCCAGTTAGAATGGTGATCATTAAAAAGTCTGGAAACAACAGATGCTAGCAAGGATGTGGAGAAATAGGAACGCTTTTACACTGTTGCTGGGAGTGTAAATTAGTTCAATCATTGTGGAAGACAGTGTGGTGATTCCTCAAGGATCTAGAACCAGGAATACTATTTGACCCAGCAATACCATTGCTGGATATATACCCGAAGGATTACAAATCATTCTACTATAAAGACACATGCACACATACGTTTATTGCAGCACTATTCACAATAGCAAAGACTTGGAACCAGCCAAAAAGCCCATAAATGATCGACTGGTTAAAGAAAATGTGGCACATATACACCACGGAATACTATGCAGCCATAAAAAAGAATGAGTTCACGTCCTTTGCAGGCACATGGGTGAAGCTGGAAACCATCATCCTCAGCAAAGTAACACAGGAACAGAAAACCAAACACCGCATGTTCTCACTCATAAATGGGAGTTGGACAATGAGCACACATGGACACAGAGAGGGGAACATCACACACCGGGGCCTGTCTGGGGGTGGGGGCAAGGGGAGGGAGAGCATTAGGACAAATACCTAATGATGGGTTGATGGGTGCAGCAAACCACCATGGCACATGTATACCTATGTAACAAACCTGCACATTCAGCACATGTATCTCAGAACTTAAAGTAAAATAAAAAATAAAAAGATACCTATTATGTGGGACTAATAATAATATCAAACTCATCTAGTGATTATAGGCATTAAATAAAATATTAGATGCAAAAAGATTAGCAGAGTGCTGGCCAGAGAGTCAGCATGTAGTCAGTGTCAGCTGTTATGATTCTCACCATTATTCCCTCCGCCTGGGGAGCTGACCCATAAAGGGATGCAAAAGCAAAACACCTAATCTTCATGGCTGCAAAGACCCCAAATCAAATCAGGATGTGTTTGACGGCCGCCATCAAGTAAAACATACATGGCCAGGACGAGGGAGGGAGTTGGGGTGTGTGTAATGTAATTTAAAGGAATGTCTTTGCGAGGGCAGAAGGAAATTGTGAGATTTACATTGGCGTGACAAAGGTTCCCGAAAGCTGCAGCTCTCCCACGGCCTGAAATGATGGTATTTGCTGTTGGCAGATGTAGCTGAATTGGAAAAAGAGAGACCGCACTCACAGACTGTCACTTCATTTTATTCATTGGTGGCTGTCGTCCAAAGGGTGAAGTGAGAGCTCCTCCACGGAGGAGGCGGCTTGCAGGACGATAATCCTCCTCCTTTTCCTTCTCTTATACTTCGATTGCCTCAGCTACCAGAGGAAAGGGCTAAGGCCTTGGAGTCAGGAGGTCTCAGTTTGAGTCCTGGTTCTGCCACTTGCCAGCTGTGTGCGTGACCGTGGGCCAGCCACCCACCCCTCTGAGGCTCTCACCTCTTATCTTTCTAGAGGACCAACAAAGACACAGTGCTTATAGCTGGTGGTGAGCCTCCTGGTGCTCTTTCACCTGCCTGGTACTTCTCACCTTGCTCTCCAAAGACTGCCTGCTGCCCTTCTGTTCCCAGAATTGGTTGCCTGTTGTGGTCACCTCAGTAAAGTTCCAAGTTTGCATCTTCATCTTGGAAGGAGGAAGAAACATTAGGCTCATAATGTCCCACCAACAGCTGATATTAAGGGAGTACATCTCACCAAAGAGATCAGGCATTTGGCAGTAATGTTGAAAAGCATGGTTCCCTGAAGGTGCCTATACCACCTTTATGAAAATAATAGGAATAGCAGCAACAGGCCATTACTATTTCTTTCTTTCTTTTTAAATTATACTTTAAGTTCTGGGATACACATGCAGAACGTGCAGGTTTGTTACATAGGTATACATGTGCCATGGTGATTTGCTGCACCCATCAACCCATCATCTACATTAGGTATTTCTCCTAATGCTATCCCTCCCCTAGTCCCCCACCCCACAACAGAACCCAGTGTGTGATATTCCCCTCCCTGTATCCATGTGTTCTCACTGTTCAACTCCCCTTTATGAGTGAGAACATGCGGTGTTTGGTTTTCTGTTCTTGTGTTAGTTTGCTGAGAATGATGGTTTCAGCTTCATCCATGTGCCTGCAAAGGACATGAACTCATTCTCCTTTTATGGCTGTGTAGTATTCCATGGTGTATATGTGCCGCATTTTCTTCATCCAGTCTATCATTGATGGGCATTTTGGTTAGTTCCAAGTCTTTGCTATTGTGAACAGTGCTGCAATAAACATATGTGTGCATGTGTCTTTATAGTAGAGTGATTTATAAGCCTTTGGGTATCTACCCAGTAATGGAATTGCTGGGTCAAATGGTATTTCTGGTTCTTGAGGAATCGCCACACTGTCTTCCACAATGGTTGAACTACTTTACACTCCCACCATTACTATTCCTTAAGCATTTATTCCAGGGCGACGTGAATTATCAAATCCTCAGGATACCGCTCTGAGGGGAGTGTTCTGATTATTCCCATTTTATAGAAGAAAGAGAAGCTTAATGAAGTAAGATAATTTGCCCAAGGCCAAGCATCTCATCAGGGGTGTCCTGTATGGTTGTTCAGGTTGTGCACTGCATGAGGAAACGCCACCTAAGAAGGTGACATTTACATTGTAGAAAAATACTAATTTGTATTACAGCACACAGTGAGCACAGAGCTTCTAGGCCTCTGAGGCATGTCCTAGAGCAACTGGTCCTTTATAAACCCACCCCGACACCATGATAAGGCTTCCACTCAGGAGTGCAGGAGTCACACACTCATTGATGCACACGGGCATGTAGTTGTACCAGGTTCTTATTGTGCCCCAGTCATCTTCTGAGGTTGCTTCTCTCATTGCTGTAGCTCTTGGTGGCCCCATTCACATCCTATACCAGACTTGGAGTTGGCTACGATTGCCTTTTGGGGAAGGATAGGGCAGGTGCACGTTGGTGTCAGTGGGGGCCTGAGAGAACCGGGCTATCTGTATACACAAAGCTGGGGCCTGATTCCTAATCAGATGCTATCTTACCCTGAGTTCCCCAAACAGCAGAGCCAAAGGAGAAGCTTATGTGTGAGCATCTCACAAACAGTGTGAGCCTAGGGAGCAGAAGTGAGGGACGGGGAGCCGGATGAGCTTCCTGTGGCTGCTGTAACAAATTACTAGAAACTTGGTGGCTTAGAGAAACACACACTTGTTCTTTTACAGTTTACTGGTGGTCACACATGCCAAATGAGTTGCAGTGGGTTGAAATCAAGGTGTCAGCAGGGTCTTGCTCTCTCTGGAGACTATGGGGGAGAATCCACTTCCTTGCCATTTCCAGCTTCTGGAGCTGCATTCCTATAATTGCATTTCTTGGTATGTGGCCCCTTTCTGCATCTTCAAAGTCAATGGCACTGGATCTTACTCCATCCTCACATTGCCTTCTTCTGTAATTGCATTTTCCCTGCCTTCCTCTTATGACACCTGTGATTATACTTAGAGCCTACCAGCTAAGCTGGGATGATCTCTCCATCAAGATTCTTAATACAATTGCATCTGCAAAATGTGACTGAAACCCCCCTTGCCAGTAGGTAACAATCACAGTATCAGGAGTTAGGACCTGGATCTGTTTGGGGGCCATTATTCAGCCTACCATGGAGTGAAGAGGGGAGGGAGAGGAGAGCCAAGATAAGGATGCATTTTCTGCTTGGCCGCTCTTATGGGAGACTGGTTGCTTGATTCTCTGGGGCCACCAAGAAGCTGTATGAAATGTTTCCATCTCAGAACTGCCTCTGGGGAAGAGTGGGCAGTGGGGAAGGAGGAAGTATCTTTCCACGGCTCCTATCCCCTGTTGGTCAAAGGTTCACCCCCTGGGGCATCCATACTCCCACAGCTGTGGATTGTGCCCAAGTGGATGCTGGGGGTCTCCCACCTGGAGGAGGAGATGAGACCAGTGGGTGCCACTAGGCTGCACCGCCGGCCAGGGCCCCCAAGGAGCTGCCCATCAGAGCAGAGGCTGGAATAAGGACAGACAGGTAAGGCCCAGAGGGCCTGAAAGGGGTGCAAAAGAGGCGTCCAACACAGGTGCCTGTGCTCTGTCTACAGGTACAAAAATAAGTCTGAATTAAGGGAACATGGTTCATGTGAATTTAAGTGGGATGCTTCTAATGAAACCCCAGGTCCCAGGGCCCTTGCTCCTGTCCCCCTGCCCCCCGCTTCCTCTTGCCTCCTTGTCCTTTACACAGGTGGGGGCATCTTGTGGGGCCATCTGTGGTCAGTTATCTGACACAACCAGAGAGGCCGCCTCCCTCTTCCCCCTTCCCTGCCACATAATGCGCTTCTGGGTATGCTTTAAATTGTTTTATCCCGGCTGGGCGTGGTGGCTCACGCCTGTACTCCCAGCACTTTGGGAGGCCAAGGATGGTGGATCGCCTGAAGTCAGGAGTTTGAGACCAGCGTGGCCAACATGGCGAAACCTCGTCTCTCCTAAAAAATACAAAAGTAGCCGGGTATGGTGGCACACGCCTGTAATCCCAGCTATTCGGAAGGCTGAGACAGGAGAATCACTTGAACCCGGGAGACAGAGGTTGCAGTAAGCCGAGATCACACCATTGCCTTCCAACCTGGGGGAAAAGAGCAAAACCTCCGTCTCTAAATAAATAAATAAATAAATAAATTGTTTTACCCCATCCCCACTTTCTTTTACCTTGAAGAAAAGGTGTTGATGTCCTGTTTTGTTTTTTGTTTTTAATTTGCATCAATGTCCCCCAAGGCAACAGCCCTGCAGCATTTGGGAGGCAGAACCAAACCCTAAATCCAGATCTGGTCATTGCAAAACTCAAAGGAAACTACAAACTCCACCGCTACCTTGCAGTTCATAAGGAGCCAAGGCGAACAGGGGAAGGTTTGCCTCATTCTCTGATCAGGGTCCCACACACCCACGCTTCAACAGGTCTAGCAAAGAGGAGAGAAGCCCCAGGAATAAAATGAAGACTTTTGGAGAGGAGTGGGTGCTTCATTGAGAAGAGCAGAACTAGTAGAACGGGCATCGTGGGCAGCATCGGGGATCTAGGTGGTGCTGGGGTGTGGGGTTGAGTGAGTGGGGAAGGTTTGGGGAACCCCAAAAGGAATTGAGCTCAGTGAGTGCAAGTGCGGGAGAGGTAAGTGCTCCTAGCCTCAGAGATGGGAAGCTCAGGGCAATGGCTTCTGAAGTTCTTTCCCTCTGACCCTGTGGGACCAGAGTAAAGCTCAGGTCTAAAGAGGTCTCCAGACCAGGTCTTTCTGACTGTCTCTCACCTGCCCTTGCACCGCTGTCTCTTGAAGCCCTTTGGATACATTCATATGAACTTCTGTCCTCATTCCCATGCGGCTCCTGCCGCCCTTATTCCTGACTCCATCTTAGCTTATGACCACCTCCGCCTTGCAGTTCCGGGTATGGAGTGTATTTCTGCTCTCCCCCGACTCTCAGAAGCCCCCTCCAGGACTCCAGCATGTCCTTGTTCTATCCCTCGCACCTGGTAGCACGTCTCCCTGGCGAGCCCTTCAGGCCTTCATCCTGTCTCACTCCACAGCGAAGTGATTCAGGCACTTCCAGCAGGTTCTACATAGAGAAGATTCTGATGCCCTAGACAGGCTGAGCCTGACCCTACCAGTCCCAGGCCCAACCCGACCCTGGCCTTGACCTTGACCTTTGAGTCTCAGTCCCGTCCCAGGCTTAGCCCAATGCTCCTGTCAGCCTCATCCCTCAACTCTGCCCCCAAAGGTGCATTTACTGCAGACAGTTCCAACCCCTGTCCCAGGCTGAGCCCCAGATAATCCCAGATTTTCCCTCAACCTAATCCAGCCCAGAAACGGACCTTTATTTAAAATGAATGGTATAGCTCAGCCCTCCCACTTCGGCAGCTCAGCTCTCATATCATGTGCCTCAGTGGGCCGATTTATTGAGACCGTCAGGGCCACGCAGTAAAAAGACCACCTCGCTTGGGCCTGAGTCCAAGTTTTTTCACTTACCAGCGACATCACTTTAGGCTAAGTTCCAACGGGCACTTTCTGGGCCCCAGTGTCCTTTACTTACCACAAATAGCTATGACAAGAGTTCTGCAACCTGGCGCCTGGGAGTCCTTTGTACACTGTGGGATACTGCAGGGTTTCACATTCAGGGATACTCGGGGACTGAGCTTTCTGTCTCTCCCCTGCCGCAAAGGGCAGTTCTTTTCCCAACACTGCAGGTGTGCTAGGCCTTCCACAAATCCCCGACCTGCCGACAGGATGTTTGAACAAGGCTCCTGCAACAGCCTTGGCCCTGGTGCCATCACCCGACCTAGTTTTATTTCCGTTTCCTTGAGAGAAAATGTTATCCCAGTCCGCTCTCTGTAGTCTGACAAATGTGTTCCTTTATGAGGGTGAACCCAGCCCTGGGAGGCAGCAGAGCAGGTCACGTGCTGGCAGGGTTGCCATGGAAAGTATTCACTTTTATTGAATTATTCATTTGCGGCGTCCACCTAGAATGTCCCCTCAGGCTCACAGCTGTGACAGACAGACACTTGGACAAAGAGACGTGTGGCCAAGGGCCCCTCCACACGTCAGCTTCCCTCCCAAGAGCTGTCTCCCGACAGGGACAGAGCAGAGAACTTTGAGTCCGAGACCCCGGATCCCCTACCCATCTTTGTTCAGGAGACAGTGGCTCTACAGAGATTTAGTGTGCACACTCTGGCTCCAGACCACCAGAGTTCAAGTCTCCTCTCTTCCTCTTCTATTTCCTCTACTGAAAAGTGGGAATAGGAAGATACCCACCTCTCCAGGTTGCTATTACATTTTAGACTCAAAAATATCTAAAATACAAATAGTAATGTTGGCTTTTATTTATTTATTTATTTTTACCAAGTAAGTGATTATGGGCCTCAGTTTTCCCCATCTGTACAATGAAGACAACTGACCAGATAATCCCTAAGGAAGCCTCCAGCTCTGATACTGCCTGCCATTGACAATGAAGCCAAATGGCATCGTCCTGCCTGAATTCTTAAGTTTCTCAGGGACACAAAATCCATTTTCTCCAGTAGACGTTGTCTTCTTCCCAGTAGCGGGGGTCACAGGTCATGGTCGTAAAGTGAGTGTGTGTTAAAGACTCAAACAGGCGGCCGGGTGCGGTGGCTCACGCCTGTAAACCTAACACTTTGGGAGGCCTAGAAGGGCAGATTGCCTGAGCTCAGGAGTTCGAGACCAGCCTGGGCAACACAGTGAAACCCCATCTCTACTAAAATACAAAAAATTAGCTGGGTGTGGTGGCATGTGCCTGTAGTTCCAGCTATGTCGGAGCCTGAGGCAGGAGAATCGCTTGAACCCGGGAGGCGGAGGTTGCAGTGAACTGAGATCACACCACTGCACTCCAGCCTGAGCAACAGAGCGAGACTCCGTTTTCAAGGAAAAAAAAAAAAGACTCAAACAGGCCCGGTTCCAATTTCAAGGTCAGGGGAAGGATGAGTTCTGCCTTCCTTTAACTCTCCCAGGCTAGGAGTGGGGTGTGATGTGGCGTCATCAATAGCCTGGTGTATCAGGCAATTTTTACTGAAATCACCGCCACCATCTGCAACTTGAAGGGCTTGTTGGGGCACGCTGGCATTGCTTTCAAACAACTGATTCTCGGTAGAATGAAGAAAGATCAGCAATGTAATGTTTGCATGGTTATTTTTTTGTATTCTAAACTGAAACCCGTTTTTAAAGTGACCACCTCAACATATGTGTCAAGATATAAATAGAGGGAGGATGTTATCACAGAAGCTTTGGAAATCACCTAAATGCCCATTAGGAGAGGAGTGGCTGTATACACTGCTAATTCCTTTCCAATAATTTACCATGTAGACATGAAGAGTGAGCGAGACGTATACTTACGGACAAGCCTAGATCATAAGACCCAGGACTGAGTAAAAAGAGATTTAAAAAGCAAGTGCTATAAAATGTCGTTTAAATCAAACCTATAAACATAAATATATAGCCCAGCTGTCTAGGGCCAGCCTGTAGTTTTAGATCTAGAAAAAGTTGGCTTGTACCTCCCATCCACAAACTGGGGAGCCCCCTGACCCCCATATGTTTGGGAATTCCTGAAGGAATTTTCTAGGCAGGGTCACATCTGGATTCTCTAGCACCTGGCTACCCTCCCCGCCCCCCGCCCCTCCCCGATTCTGCTGAATTAGCTCAAGGTCAGGATTGTGTGACTGTCTCGTGTTCCAATTTTCCTTCCACACCACAACTGTCCACATATAGATTCAGCCCTTTCCTTAATGTCTCCCCCCAGAACACTCATACTGGGTCTGTGTGTGTTGGAAGCATTCTCGAAGGCTTGGGGAAGGCCATTGAAGGCTTTTCATAGCAACAAAGCAAGCAACTTGAAATTCAATCAGGTGCCCCTGCTTTTCAAATGTCCCCTGACCACTCCCATACCCAGGGCCCCAGCCTCCTGCTGGGATGCGCTTTGCTCCTTTATTTTTCTTTCTATTTTCAGCTCTATTGCTCTCCCTCTAGCGCTTGATTGGCCCTGGGAGCACCAAGCTCCTCTCACTTTATGAAGCAGAGCAATTCAGTTCTTTTTCTGCCTCACCCCCACATTTGGATATAGGCCACTCTTGCAGGTATCCAAACCCGTGGAGGGGCTCAGGGTCAGCTTCCAACCGGCTCTGCACCAAACAGAACTTGCCCTCGTTAGAGAGCTGTTGGGGTTGTAAATAGCAGCATACCACACCCACCCACCCCCACACACACACACAGAAAATCAGTCTGGAATTGTGTTCACCAAAACGTTAACAGCGGTCATTTCTGAGTAATTATATTTTAGGTAATTTTTTGCCTAAAATATAATTTAAGGCAAAAATTTTTTCTTTATATATTTTTGTATTATTTGAATTTTCTAAAATGAGCATATATTAGCTTCCCAGTCTGAACAGGGAGCAGAGGAAGCAATTTTGGGGGAAGACAATACCCTCTGTGATGCAGAGGCCCGCTCAAGTTCCCCCTCTTCCCCCACGTAGTCCGCGAGCACATCCCTTTAATGCCCACGCCTCAGTCAGTCACTGCCCAGGCCCTGCTGCGACTCTCTCAGCACCCTCCCACCTGTCACTTCCGACCCCTGCTCCAACTCTCTCAGCACCCTCCCACCTGTCCCAGCTGTGTTGCCGCAGAGGCTGGCAGGCAGCCCACCCAGACCTCCCAGGAGTCCAGCAGAAACTGACTTCCCACACACTCTGCTCACAGCCATTAGGAGGGCAACCGTGGCAAGGGTGCAGAGAGCCAGTGGGGCCTGGGCCATTTTGAGAGCACCCCTCCTCTGCCCATTTTTGCAGAAGTGATTGAACGATGTGAGCCACACATAGGATTGACTGGAATTACTAGGAGCAGGGCTCAACATCCTACATCACCTTGCTAACAGAGCCTTGGCCTCTGGAGAAGAGGTGCGGAGCTGGAGGGAGGAGGAGCATCCGGGAGGCCTGGGGAGCACTTCCAACACCACCCCCTTCAACAGATGCATCTTGTATTGCTACTGGTACAGTGTGTTTTGATTGATATGTCACCACGCTCTCTTGGTGAAGGGACAGGAGATGGGTAAAGTTGCTTTTGTTGCCAAGAAACATGAAAGTCAACTCATGCTCAGGAAGAGAACATGCAGGTTCATTTACGAGTAGTGAGGCTCAAGATTTAGGAGAAGAGGTTTCAGACTCTCCTGCTGCCCCACCCCCAATCTGGCCTGGATTTCTGCCCAAAGACCTGTCTGAGGCCAATATGAATCATGTAACAGGAACTGGATTTTAAATCCATTCCGCATGGTGTCTGGCACCGAGCCAGCCGCTGTGGGCACTCAACACCCTTTTGTCAAATCAAGCTCTTATGGAATCACTCTTCCCTCTTTTTAAAACCACCATTCATCGAGAGCCTTCTGTGGAGCAGGCACCAGGCCATGTGCTTTACTTATGTCATAGCCCATTAAACCATCACACTAGGGCTTCAAGGTAAAGGGTTATTGCTCATTTTTTTATAGATGAGGAAACTGCATCTCACAGAGATGAACATAAGTAACTAGCCAAGGGTCCCACAGTCCATTAGTCAGCTATTGTGGCAATAATGCTATGCAACACACACTGTCTGCAGACTGAGGAGATGGCAACAAGCACTTACTTCCCACTGACAGCCGTGGCTCTCATGGGCTGGGCTCCAGGCTGTGGGTTGGGCTGTTTCAAGGATCTCATTCTCCTGGGACCAGTGGTTACCCACTCCATTCCTCTCATGGCAGATGGCAGAAGAGCCAGATTCCAAGCCAAGACATGCAAATATGGAACAGTTTCTTGGCCAAGACCCACATCTATGGGAGAGGGAAAGATATTTCACCTCTTCTATTGAGAGATCTTGTAAGGTCGCATTGCAAAGGGTATGAATGCATCATTCTGACACCAGGAGTCAAGAAATGGGAGTAAGGGTACCATTTGTAGACATAGCTAGTGGAGAGCTGAAGCCAGGTTCATACTAAGATCCTTGCAATGCTAAAACCCGCTGTCAGTCACACCACAGCTCTTCCTCTGTCCCCTCTGTGAGTGACACACTGAGCTCAAGTCTCAAGATGTAGGTAGCATGGATAAAGAAGCCTGGAAGACTTAGCAGACCTCAGGAGAAAATCGGGCCTAGGATGCTTGCTCGGTGCACTTGCTGCAGCGGTAGTTACTCTGGAAGACGACAGCTGTGGACCTTTGAAGACTGGGTGGGGAGCCAAGGAGAGAAACTACTCCTCTCCATCGGAACCAGATTCAGCAGCAATGCTTGCTCTCTGTCCACCCGGGGCCAATGAAACTGTTCACTCATCTCCAGCTTCTGGCATGACTGTGCCCCAACGTCCAAGACAGGATGGATTCCACGTTTTGGGACAGCATTCCCCACCATATTTCATGCAGTGCACCCCCAAGATCTTATCAGTGAACTTCAACTCTTGGAACATTAGTGGGGAATAGCACTATTAATATCTGGGGGCAGTTTACTTCCAACGTCTGGAGCTCAAGATACCCTAAACTGGACTTGGCAGTCACAGGGAATAGCCAGTGTCCTGGGTGTAGGATCTGAGGCCCTGACTTCCAGTCTCAGCTCTGAGGCTCATCTCTAGGCCTCGACTTCCCTACTGCTAAAATGGGGCTGGGCTATAGCCCGTGTCCAAAGCCTTTCCCAGCCCAGCAGCTTCTGGTCCCAGGAGGCCAGCTTACTGTCGGGGCATTCTAAACTCAGTGTTCAGCTGTGTGGTGCCTTTTGTCTCCCCAGTTTCACCTATGCTTGTCACATAGAGTCCAGAGCCCTTAGACTTCTGGAAGAAAACAGAGTAATTAGGGGGTTGGCTGACTACGGGCAGGGGTCTTGTTACTCAGTCTCCTCAGGCTGCAAGCAGGGCTGAACCTGGATTGCTCAGTCTGCGTGGGGCTCAGAGCTGGGGCGGGGTCTGGGGCTTCCCCACAAAGCCCACATCAGGCTTGGACTGGAGAGCCATTGAGGGAAACCAGTGGATGTGTGGGCCCAGGAGGCAGAACAAGGGATATAGCTCTGGCTAATTCAAGTGGGAGCCACAGACTAGTGACAGGAGCATCACCTGGCAACATATTAAGAATGCAGACTCTTGGCTGGGAGCAGTGGCTCATGCCTGTAATCCCAGCACTTTGGGAAGCCAAGGTGGGTGGATCATTTGAGGTCAGGAGTTCGAGACCAGCCTGGCCAACATGGTGAAACCCTTCCTCTACTAAAAATACACAAAAAAATTAGCCAGGCTTGGTGGCGGGTGCCTGTAGTCCTAGCTACTCAGGAGGCTGAGGCAGAATTGCTTGAACATGGGAGGTGGAGGTTGCAGTGAGCCAAGGCCACACCACTGAACTCCAGTCTGGCAACAGAAGGAGACTCTGTCTCAAAAAAAAAAAAAAAAAAAAAGCAGACTCTCAGGCCCCTCCTAAATCAGCATTGAACAAGGTCCCCAGGTGATTTGTGTGCATGTTGCAGTTTCAGAAGCGCTAGCGTAGCAGATGCCGATATCCACCCTCGCCTTTGCCATTTCCCCTGCACACTGGCTCCTGGGGCACCTTCACTCCCAGCAGCCCACGCCTGCGATTTTCTGCCAGAGGGCTGTCCTCAGGCTGCTGGAGGCCCCTTTGCTTGTAGCACCAAGAGCCAGAGGGCTTGGAAATTTACATCCACCCAGGGGCAGCCCTTAACCCAGAGGTTCCAGAACTTCCACAGTTCATGAAGCCCTTGGAGACTCAGTAATTTTTCACAGCACTCATTCCTAGGCTAAAAAACAAACAAACAAACAAAACAAACCTAACAGTTCCATTTATTATGTAGTAAGGTGCAAACAGCTTAACTAGTATTTATAGCCTAACAACTTAGCAGCTGTTGACAAATATGATACCCAAAAATTAAAACAGAAAGGAATGTGTTGATTTCACTCATAAATAAACACAATTACTTATTCATGGGATGTGTGTGCCTGTTGGGCACTGCACAACTTTTCAGTTCTCAGAATCACATTGGATGCCACCACCCTCATTGCCTGCTCTACTCTGATTTCCATTCAGTACTTCCTTTTTGTCACAGCTTCTGCTTAACACTCAGCTTCACAAAGATGTGACATCAGCCAAGGAAATGCAGGGCAGTCTGATGTTGAAACTGTGAACTGTCTCAGGAGTGGTGTCTGGCAGCTGTTGCGGTGTTTCCCTTAAAGACTTAAAATATGCCACGGCATCTGCCTTGGCACACAGTTTGAGAACTATGGCCTAACCCATACTTGAGGTCATCAGGTATAAATACTCCAGCTTCCTCACCCTGGTGGGGCCAGCTCTGAGGCATGATGGACCCTGTCTACTGTTAGACTAAACTGAGTTCCCCTATGTGGGCTGTGTGCTCCTATTCCTGGGCCCCTTCCCTTCCCAATCTCACTTCTCCACTCACCTCCTGGTTTATCCTGGGAACGTTTCCTAATGCATGTCTTTCACAGGAATCTTCATATCAGAACCTGCTTCCGGAGAACACAGCCTAAGGAAAAGGCGAACAGGAAGATATGGGCTTGGGAGGCAGTTAGGAGGCAATGCTGTCATCCAGGGAGATGCAGATTCGCCTGGGATGGTGGCAGTGGATGGGCACAGCAGACCAAGTTGGGAAATACTAAGGATGTGGAATTAGCAGCCTTGGTCACCAGCCAGGTATGGATGGCAAGAGAATCTCAGAAACTCTGGGTTTCACCCTAGTATGGGGATGCCACTATCAGCCATCTGGAGACTAAGAGTCAGGGCAAGTTTGGGGGGAAGGTAGGAAGTACATTTTCCAACATGTTAAGTTCAAACCCTGAAATCCCAGTTCTAAAAAAAGGAGAAAGCCGAGCAGGCAAACTTTTCCACCCACTTTTTTTTAAAGGTTCTGTTTAAGTGTATGCTCAATGTGCCGTTCCCAGCCTCGTTAACCTCCCTAATAATTATACTAATGACTGCAGTCTCCGCGTAAGGATGTGTTCAGAAGCCCCAGCTCATGCTTGGCTTCACATGGCAGACTATGCGTTCCTGCGTCGTGGTGTGTTGCTGCTGCACCCTGAAATGTTTAAGGCAAACAGAGGCAGCACCTGTGAAATATCATGGCTGGCAGCGCGTGGCTCGAGCTGCCTGCAGGCACTCACAGTGGCAGAGCCACACTCCCCAGAGCCAGACACCAAAGCCTTGGTTCTCTGAAGGGGCCAGTGAGGGGGGTGGGATCTGCCCTCTTAGTCTTCCGAGGACCCGTGGGGACAGCCTTCCCACTTTGTGCCTCATTTATTCTCCCAACAGTCTTGAGATGTGAGTGTTGCTATGTCCATTTTGCAGGCAAGAAACCTGAAGCTGAGCTGCCGTTTTATAATTCATCCAACACACATATTCTGAGCACCTACTATATGCCAGTTACTTTCAAAGGGTCTGGGATTCAACCCAGCCCTGTCCCACCCTACTTCTAGTAGACATAAACAATGAATAAATCAAACCGGCCGGGCACAGTGGCTCATGCCCGTAATCCCAACACTTCGGAGGCTGAGGCGGGTGCGTCACGAGGTCAGGAGATCAAGACCATCCTGGCTAACATGGTGAAACCCCGTCTCTACTAAAAATACAAAAAATTAGCTGGGCATGGTGGCACACACCTGTGTCCCAGCTACTCAGGAGAGGAGGTTACAGTGAGCTGAGATCACGCCACCGCACTCCAGCCTGGGTGAGAGAGTGAGAGTCTATCTCAGAAAAAAAAAAAAAATCAAGCCAAGTGGTAAAGAGATGGAGGACAACTGAGGCAAGGGGAGGAGGAGTGAGCTTAATGAAAGGCCAAGAATTTTTAACAAATTCTTGGTTCTACAGACTTAACAGGAGAGGGGAGGCCTAGATTTTAATAGTAATTTATCTCAATGTAGGCTTTTAAACCTCAATTTATCATTGTCGCTGACAACACTTGGATTAATCTGTTGCTCAGTGTCTTTCTCACTGCTGCGAATCCCAGAAGGATAAAAGGGAATTGATATACATAAAGAACTAAATTTCAATTAATGCAAGCCTGTGCTAATTTTCCAACACATAACCCAGAAACATTCTCATTCATTACAATTTTATCGTGGCAGATCCTCGAGGGGAAACACACCCACAGATTTATTTATTTTTTCCGGTGTCGAATTTATCATCCAAGGCATTTTGGGGGAGGGGGGATGGGGGGCAGCTAACTGGACTCTGCGTATCCCCAGCAGTCCACTTTTTGCTGACGGATGGGGAGCATTTCCCAGAATCTGCCTGAAGTTTCTCAAGTGGCATTCACCAATTCTTCAACAGCTGGAAGTGTGGGTCTTGTGTGGTTAACCCATGGAAAGGGAGCAAGGGGCTCTGGAGACGGAGGCAGATTCTGTTATTCTGAAACGGACTCAGTGTCTGCCTGTCCCTTAGGCTGGGGCAATTTCCTGCTCTTAGGAGTGGGAAACCTCCCTGGGGGTAGGGGTCTGAGGTCAGCTGTCCTTCTCTGCCCATTCTGCTCAACAAGCTGGGCTGCAAGTTGGTTGGAGGAGGGGATGCAGT
Source organism: Homo sapiens (assembly GCF_000001405.40). Taxonomy (NCBI): domain Eukaryota; kingdom Metazoa; phylum Chordata; class Mammalia; order Primates; family Hominidae; genus Homo; species Homo sapiens. The sequence goes on from NC_000017.11 coordinate 6,169,038, forward strand.
TGTTTCTGCCCTAAAGCACCTTGGCAAACATTGCCCCTGAGAGGCTGTGTCTGCAGCTTTTTCTAATCTGTCCCCCAAGTGAGGGTCCTCATTCTAGATGACACAGAGGCACACTGTGTCCACCTGCCCTAAACTGTCCCAGCTGAGAACATTCCTCACCTTGACCCCAGAAGTGTTTCTGGGTGCAGGTGGCACTCTCTGGGAGCAGGGCCTCTCTGCCAAGCCCAGACTCAGCATTCTCCCAGACAAACTCATTAGAATTCCCTGTTCTACCCGGGCTTCCCCCAGTCTATGTGACTGGCAGGAGCAGAGCCCTGTTGGAGTTGCCTTGGCCCAAACACAGGGAAGAATCAGAAACGTAAGTCCCATGGCCCTCAACTTGGCCCCCCTTGTGCATACAGAAGCCCCCTTCTTACCTGGGTCATGGCCTTGGATCCAGCCCCGGGATGCCAGCCCAGACACCGGAATGCCTGTGCCAGGAATCGTGGATGCCTGTGTCTGTTCTGCTCTTCCTCTGAGTTCCTCTGTCCCCACCTGTGCCCCACTCCAGCCAGGAGGCCACTATTCACCCCCTTTTCCTCTTGGGGCTATTTGTCCCTTTGCAGAAGAGCAATCGCCGATGCTTTCCTTCCAAATAATTAAAAGGGCCCGGTGACCGAGGGATGACATGGAGAGTTCGACTCCACTGGGAGAAAGGTTTAATGTTCCTCCCAATTCCCAAGGCACAGCGTGCCACACAGGGCTACAGGGGCAAGAACCAGCGCTGGTCAGGAGGCAAAAGCAGGAGCAAGGGAAGGCATGGGTCACAGCCGTGACTAGGGTTTCCCTGGGAAAAACAAGGCAGGGCCAGGTAAGTCGCTTCAAGCTGGCTAGTTTGAATAATTCTCTCAGGCTCTGGGCTCAAGGGAGTTCCCGAGTTGCCCAGGACCTGGCCTTTGGATGATTTAGGACAAGGGAAGTCTGACCCTGTGTGTGCGGGTAGGTAAGGTGATGGCTGGGGGCTCAGACTCTGGATTCGTTGGTTTGTAGATGAAAGACATGCTCCCAGCTGTGTCCTTTGCTTTCTCTAAGAGTTGGATAGCCCTTAGAAGGGAAATATCTTCTTGGGCCTGTAAGATCCCCAAATGCCAGAGCATCGATACAGAAAATAGGAAAATGTAGTTAAATCAGCCCTGTGATGAATGGATGCTGTATTAGTCTGTTCTCATGCTGCTAATATAGACATACCCAAGACTGGGTAATTTGTGAAGGAAAGAGGTTTAACGGACTCACAGTTCCACCTGGCTGGGGAGGCCTCACAATCATGGTGGAAGGCAAGGAGGAGCAAGTCACCTCTTACATGGATGGCAGCAGGTGAAGTGAGAGCTTGTGCAGGGGAATTCTTCTTTGTAAGACCATCAGATCTCATGAGAGTTATTCACCAACACGAGAACAGCACAGGAAAGACCCGCCCCCATGATTCAGTTACCTCCCACTGGGTCCCTCCCATGACACGTGGGAGTTGTGGGAGCTACAATTCAAGGTGAGATTTGGGTTGGGACACAGCCAAACCATACCAGATGCCAAATAGACAAATACAGAACCTCCCCCTCCACTTCACTGCACTGGGCTTCTCACTGTTCATCAACTCAACAAGCAGGCACCTGCCAGGTCCTTTGTACTCAGTGCCACTTCTTTTTGGCATCTGCTTTCTCCAAACAGCCCCGTGGCTAACTTGTTCCATTCTTTTGGGTCTCAGCTCAAACTTCCTTGCTCAGACAGGCCTTCCCCAGCCGGCTGCCCCATGTGATGCTGCCCCCTATGCTCTCCTCCTCCCCTTGCCTCAGTTGTCCTCCATTGTATGGACAGGTTACCTGATGTGTACTGGTGATCAGTGAATGCTGGCTACTATTAGTGAGTTGCCTTTCATTAAGCTCACTCCTTGGGATATGGCCTAGATAGTGGATGGTGGCTCCTCAGTCCCTGGGTGCTTTTTATTTGCCTTAAGGGGTGCTGTTTTTTCGGGGTTGGGCTTCCCACTCTCACACTCCCCTGGCTCATCATATAGCTTCCTCTCACTTGGCCTCAATTGCTAAATCTGTCTCTATGACCCCCATACCTGTGTCTGTCCCCTAAATACCAGGCCTGTAGATCCAGCTGCCCTGGGCACCTCTTAAGTTCTAGGACTTGGCACAGCCAAGACTTCATGTTCCATTTTCTCCCCAAATATGCATCTGATCCTGTGTTCCCATCTCACCAGTGCCATCATCCACTCACTTATTAAGTCACTGATGTCATCCTGGGCTTCTCTCATCCTCGTATCCTCCCACCCAATCAAAGCCACTCCTTCTTCCAACAACAGCCCTCCTCTCCCCACCCCAAGTCACTTCTCTGGTTCGGATCTTCGTCAGCTTGCCCCTGGATATTGTAATTACCTCCTCAGTGGTCTCCTAGCTTGAGTCTCCTTCCAACTCCTTCCTCAACCTCCAAATCCATGGTCTTCCTATAACCTTGCCCCATCACTCCCCTGCAGCAAAACCTCCAGTGATTCCTCATGGCGCTCAGGGCAAAGTCTAAACGTTGAGGCTCTTTGCGGTCCAGGCCCCAGCCCCACGCTGAGCCACACCCACCTTCACTCCATCAAGATCCTTGATGTCTTTGGAACACAGCACATTGTTTCTTGTGCCTTTGACTGTGCACCTTTTCCTTGGAATATCTTCACCCGTCTCCACCAGTTGATGTTGACTTCATGCCCAGCTTTGGAGCCCACTCTCAAATGGGATGGAGTTTGCAGTCCTCACCACGGGGCAATTGGAACAGTTTTTCTGCAGCCTGAGTCACCCTGGTTTGTGTGTTCGCCATCACTTTCCTCACTCTCTGACCGTCAGCCAGGACGTAAGATGTGTGTGCACCAAAGTCTGGGTGTGTGCACCCATCTGTGTCTGTGCTAGAGGTAGGAAGGCGGGCAGGCCATTGGCTTGCAGTCAGAAGTCAGCAGAAGGGGAACACCACCCTTCTAGACACTTCAGGGTCCAGTTTCGGCCACCTTGAGACAGCTCAGGACTCTAGAGCCCTGAGACCCCCCGCGGAGACCCATTTCCTCCTGTTTCAGCTCCTGCAGACATTTCCAGGATCCTACCCTTTCTCAGAAGCTGCAGGAGTCCAAAAACACCGTTACAAGCATGTTATCATAGTTCCTCACACTACCATGTGGCGGGAGACGGCTCAGAGAGTAATGAATTCATATTCGTGTATTCCCACGATTAACATACTGAAAGCTTCCTTCATTAAAATTACAGTACTGCAAACACTTCCTGGTTAACTTGGACAACAAGGAAGCTCCTCTCCAAGGGATAAGAAGTTGTTTCAAGATGAAGATGTTATCCGGCTTGTCATATCTGATTTCTCAGGCCAAAAAAGAAAATAATAATTCCCTATCTCATTCTCATTCTTTTTCTCCCCTGCTACCTCTCTCTCTCTCTCTCTCCTCTCCCTCCCTCTTCGGCTTCTTCTCCTCTTTCACTGTGTGCCAACCTCTCTGCAATTTCCCAAGTAAAAATAAAAGAGATGACCTTCTACATAATCAGCCATTGCAATTTGGAGGTGAATATTCAATTAGTTCCAGGCCAGGGATTCCTGATCAATATTGCCTTCTCACGGCAAAACAGTGTAACAAACTCTCGTATTAAGCAATTCTAAGTCCCGGTGCTGATACCCATGACCGACAGTTAATCTGCACTTTAATTAATACCTGCCCCTCAGTCAGCTAAAGCTGTGGATTACCCACAAAGGTTTTCAGTCCCCCCTCCCCAGTGAAGCTGGCAGGAGCATGGCTATTGTGTGAGCCTGCGATAAAGTCAGAAGCCCAGCTTAACCTGGCCCTTTGGTGCTGGATCTCAGGGATTTAGAAATAGAACAATAGATCCTCATGAATGGAAGGGCCCTGAATTGCAGTGAGATTCAGGGGAAGAAAAGCCACAATTTCTGGGGAAGAAAATCACCCCCCCGCCCAAATACACACGAATACATTCCTGCACTCACACGCACATTCCACATCTCTACCAAGTAACTCCTCATCATCTACTTGCACACCTTCAGTCACGGGGAGCTCACCACTCTAGGAGGGACCCAGTTCTCTGGCCAGCTATGATAATGAGATGGATTCTGCCTCTACTGAGAATGGATTTTGCCTCCACTGATCCTGGCTTCATATTTCAGGCTTCTTGAGTTCCCTTTCTCTTCAATATGCCCAGTGCTGTCTGCCCTAGCCCTTCCCTTGGCTTCTGAAAAGATCCCCTGGTGGTGGACCACTAGGGGCCTCTGTGATAACAGTAGCATCAACAATCAGAACTCGCTGAGCGTTTACTATGTGCCAGTCCCCTGCTTAGCATGTCATAGGTGTTTTTAATCCTTAGAATAACACTGTGAGGAGGATGCTGTTCTTATTCCCTGTTTTATAGCCAGGGAAACTGAGGCACTGTGGACTTAAGTCATGCATTCAAAGCGAGGCCACACATCTAACAAGGTTGATCTCTCCTTCACTGATGACTCAGGGGTCACCTCCTGGGCAAGACTTCACAGATTCTCCAAGGACAGTGTCCTCACCCACCCCACGGGGCTCTCACCATGCCTCATCCATGCTCCTGCTACTGCCCTCATTTTTGGGTATTGCAATTCACTTGTTTTTTTGGCCTTGTCTAACACTGTCTGCCTCACATACTGCTCTTTGGGGTTCTCTGGGATAGAGGCTGAACGTGCCTCATTCACTGGTAATATCCCACACTTAACACAAGCCTGGTTCTTAACTTGTATTATATCTTCAAGGAATGTTACGGCTCAAACTTCTATGGAGGCTGCTGGGGCCCAGACCAGCATGCCCACAGATAAGATATCAATCAAAGCAGAAGCTAAATGTCAGGGGAGCTCCACAAAGACAGCCTGGATATATGCATAGAAGAAAAGGCAATGAAGAGTAGTAGAAAGAGCCCCAGTCAGGGGAGTCAGGTGCTCTGGGTTTTAGCCTCAATTCTTCCAGGCTCTTTGTGGTATATAGGACGAGTCTCTTTTTCTCACTGTGTCTCAGTATCCCCGTGCTGAACCTCAGGTTGTATGAAGGACTACTGGACACTCCTGGCACCATCAGCCTGCAGATGAGACTCTGATCGGGTTGTCCAGGATGCTGCTGGTGCCGAGTTCGGTCAGTGACTCCCAGCAGAGTCTCATTGCCATTGCTGCAGACCTGCTGGACGTGGCCTGTGTGCTACACCCCACAGTATCCCCATCTCCTGGCTGAAGGAAGCAAAGAGGAGTGGTCGGGGTGAGAGCCGCTACAGCCGCCACGGCAGCAGCAACCACAGCAAACCAGGTGCTATTCTAAGCGCTTTGCAGGCCCAGCTCCAAAAGGCGGGATGCTTGGAGGACTTTTCCAATGTGGCATTAATGAAGCTGTTGGCCTGGGCCTCGCCCTAGAGGTTCTTTGTGCAGAAATAACACCCCAGACAAAGGGATTCCCTTTGCCTCTGATCTTGGCCCAGCACAAATTCTCAGGCCCTCTCTGGGCTGACAACCTTGCTTTTGAATTCACAGAGAAAAGAGAAGCAACCAGACAAGCCTGGATCATCCCCTCTCTCTCCACAAATCTTCCGACTCACCTGCATCTATACCCACATTCTGAAAGATGTGAATTGGCCCATGTCCCTGTGCCTGTGGCTGTGGCAGCCACGGTGTGCCCATGGGCAATGATGGTGGGAATGGAAGTTGAATCCTGAGAGGTGCTGGGACAGTTAGTAAGATAATTTCTGGAATACACATGGCACAGGGCCTGAGCTGAGAGCTGGGTTATTGTAGGCATAATAACCCTCCAATAATAGTAGCTAGCACTCACTGATCACCGGTGCGCATCAGGCAATCTGTCCATATAAAGAGGCAGAGCTCAGAGACAGTCAGTCCGTTGGCGAGCAGGTGACCAGTTATCTAACTCCAGAACCACCCACTTCAGCATCCCCCTAGACCTCTGCTAACTGAGAGTGTTCTTCTCACTGGCACACAGGCAGTGCCCACTGGCTTACTGAGTAGGACCCAGGTCTTCTGGCTCCTAATTCATCACTATTACCCCTATTAACCCATCACCCTTCTCTGCCTTTTTTCTCCTCGGTGCTCAAGTATCATTCACATCTCACCAAGCATTTGGGCATTCCCTTAGTGACTCAGTGACTAATGACTGTAATGTGACATGTTATAAATTGTGGGGTGGTCTCAGGGTGGAAGACCACTCCCAGCGGGCCCTCTCTGAGTGGGAAATCTCTGCAGGTGACTTGAACAGAGTAGTTTACTGCCACCACGGGATGTCCAGCTGGATTGGATGCGTGTGAGTTACTTGGTAATGGAACCTCTAGCCTCTGCAATGGTTTCCTCACTGCCTGGTTTCGTGGCTTGTGCAGTTCCCTCTCACATCACACCAGATTGGCCTAGGTGGCCAATAGAACATGGAAAAAGTAATGATATGTGGCTTCCAAGCCTAGGTCATAAAAGACACTACTGCTTCCATCTCCCTCCTTTGAATCACTCCCTCTGGGGGACACAGACACAGTGACAATCTGATCTCTCTTGCTTTTCCCCACATTTCCCCCTTTTCTTTTCGACAAAACCGCCATCGTCATCATGGCCCGTTCTCGATGGTCGCTGTCTCTTCGGAGCTGTTGGGTACACCTGCACCTCACCATATCATGAGGACACTCTAGTAGCCCTGTGGCATTGCTTGCGTGGAAAGCAACAGAAGCCCCCTGCCAACACCCAGCACTGTCTCCATCCGCTCAGGTGGCTATCACAAAATACCATGGACTGGGCAGCTTATAAACAACAGAAATTTGGCCGGGCGCGGTGGCTCACACCTGTAATCCCAGCACTTTGGGAGGCTGACGTGGGTGGAGCACCTGAGGTCAGGAGTTTGAGACCAGCCTGACCAATAAGGTGAAACCCGGTCTCTACTAAAAATACAAAAATTAGCTGGGCGTGGTGGCGTGCGCCTGTAGTCCCAGCTACTCAGGAGGCTGAGACAGGAGAATCGTTTGAATCCAGGAGGTAGAGGTTGCAGTGAGCCGAGATCGTCCCACTGCACTGTAGCCTGGGCAACAAAGAGTGAAACTCCATCAAAAAAAAAAAAAAAAAAAAAAAAAAAACCCAGAAATGTATTTCTCACAGTTCTGAAGGCTGGAAGTCCAAGATCAAAGCCCCAGCAGGTACAATGTCTGGCCAGGGTCCACTTCCTTGTTCACAGACGACCATCTTTTCAATGTAACTTCACACACCAGAAGGGAAGAGGAGTCGCTTTCTGGCCTCTTTTATGAGAGCATTAATCCCATTCATAAGGTGAAGCCCTCCTGAATCACCTCTCAAAGGCTCCACCTTCTAAAAAAATCACCCTGAGGTGACGGGTCTCAGTATCCCCGCGCTGAACCTCGGGTTGTGTGGAGGATTTCTGGACACTCCTGGCACCACCAGCCAGTGGCTGAGACTGATAGGGCTGTGCAAGCTGCTGCTGGGGCCGAGTCCAGTCAGTGAGGGTTAGGATTTCCTAACCCTAATCCTTGAGGACCGGGATTTCAACGTATGAATTCGGGGGAGATACGAACATTTAGATCACAGCAAAGCACCGACTTGCCAACCATGTGAGTGAGTTCCATCGAAGGCAGGGCCTCTGGCTCCAGTCAAGCCTCCAGATGACGGCAGCCCTGCAGAGACCCTGAGCCGGAACTGCACACCCAAGCTCTTCCCAAACCTCGACCCGTAGAAACCATGGTAGATCATAAAGTCTGATTGTTGTTTTAAGCCATTAACTTTGGTGTAACTTTTTTTATATAGTAGGCAACTAATGCAGTGAGATATCCTTCCACCTCACACCTCAGGATTCACTTTGTCAACAAACTTTGGTGGCATTTGTGTTCTGAAAAATTGCTCATCCAAACACATGCTTGCAAGAGTGGCCGTTTTCTTCCACATCACCCTGTCCACAGGAAGAACCCTCATTCAGTGATGGAGATCTGAGGGCACCACCTCAAAGGGCCATTTCCATGCCAAAGTAAGGCAGGTGACATACCAGTTGTGAAAGGGGTGTCTGGATTCATCTCAGGTCTGTGGTTAAGCAATACCAAACCTTAATCCTCACAAAAATCTCTCTTTGTAGTGCGGATTAATAGAAGTGTAGCTAGACTATCTCAGTGTGGGATGTAAGGACCACCTGCATCAGAAAGACTCAAGGGAAGAAGGGGAGGTTTGATGAGAATAAACATGACCAAACAAATTTAGAGGATCAGAGCTTCACTGTCTTTTCCAAGCCATGAGCTCCTTAGTGAGGGTAGACCCAGCTTGTGTCTGCATCCTCTGTAGTAGAAGAAACACATTAAAATCCAGCCTGACTTTGGACTTGAGCTTTTGGGTGCTAGAACATCTTCAGAAGAGCACCTGGGGCAGGTAATGCTGTCTCAGGTCCCTGCTGTGTGTGAACTGGAGAAGCGGCTTCCAGGTACAGACAGCAAGACACTCTAGCCTCTGAGACCTCCCAGTCTTGGATTCCACACAGTGACACTCTAGCCTCTGAGACTTCCCAGTCTTGGATTCCACACAGTGACACTCTAACCTCTGAGACCTCCCAGTCTTGGATCCCACACAGTGACACTGTAGCTTCTGAGACCTCCCAGTCTTGGATCCCACACAGTTCTTCAGTTACTGTACTTTCATCAAACCCCATGTTACATCTTGCTAACTGAAACAAGTGTATATCTTTAAGGAGAAGTTAATGCATATGTTTCAGATTCATCCTATGTGGAAACTATCAAAATATTGTGCCTGAAGTCAAGTAACATCTAGAAAAGGCTTTTGGTAGTGCCAGGTTTTTATATGTCTCTTGATAGGACTGGGTTCTGGCCTTACTGCCTGCCAGAGTTTTACCAGTCAGTGCCAACGTCACCTCCTCCAGGAAGTCCCCCCTGGCTGCCCCAGCTATCTGGAGCTGCCCCTCCTCAGAGCACAGGAGGCTCCTAATCAGGGCCATGGTGTATGGAACTGCTCTTGTTCCCACAGGTCCCAAACCTGCCCAGTCAGATTGTGAGCTTCCCCGGGGTGAGCATCTGACACCCCCTCACTGGATTCTGCCATCACACACCAGCCTGGGCTCACAGGTGTGGGTCGGGAGATGAGGTGGTGCTAGCAAGGCTGGACTGGGGGATGGGAAGGCAGGAAGGGCAGTGGCAACTGGGGCACTGATGTATGGGAAGTTTGGTTTCTGAGTCCTCGGCTTCTTAGAATTGTCCTTTTCCTTAGGCACATTCTCAGGGGTGACACCAAGGCAGAGTCCAGCAGATAATGCTTGTGCCTCTCCTACTGAGCCAATTGAGTCTTTTAGAATAAGAGGAAGAACATTGACTCTAACCTGGCCACCCAATAGGCCCTGATGTCAGCTGCAGGCCTCAGTCACTGATAGAGGGCGGTAATGGCCTTAGATTAAGCCACTACCTCCTCTACAGACACAGGGCTGGCCTAGCCAAAGGCTAAAGCTGATATCAGCCTTAGACTGAGCCTCTAACAGAGTCCACAGCCTGTGCTTGGACCCCTGACCTGTACCACAATTCAGTGTAATGACTTGGCACACCTCTCCCCACTGCTGGGGCAGCCAGGGGTGCATACCCCTCTCCCCAAGTCCTCATTTCCATTCACCCAGCTGCTAATGACTTAGGATCTGTTTAGAGTCTGGGCAACTCCCTGTCAGCACAGACCACATGAGTTAACTCTTCTACTTTAAGGATATGGGGAAAGCAAAAGATACCATCTCAAACGAGAGATGTGTTCCTTCTGTTTGAAAGGCCACACTAGGTCATGCCCACCAAGCACAGCATCCTTGGTAAGACCTGGCCCTCATCACGGCTCTCTCTCTCCCAAAGCACCTTCCCTTCACTGTGTCTTCCCAGACCTCCTAGGCCCAGTGCCCAGCCTCTAGCAGCAAGCAGAAACAGACTCAGGGGCTGGTCCTCACAGATAAGATGGGCAGGGTTTGGAATTTTCCTCTCTCTGGCAACTCCTCCCAGCTTCTCCATGGGTCTCGGCCTTCCAGTTTCTGCTGACGTAGATGGTGCTGCTCAGAATGGCCACTTCATCCCCTCTTCTGAGGCCCCTTCCTGTTATTCATGCAAAGCAAAAAGCCAGGGTCACTTCCTTAGTGACGAGGACCCACTGCCAGACCCAGTGGCAGGGCAGCTATACAACTCTGCATATTCATAAAGGGCAATGCTGAGGTTCTGCGTGCACATCTGTGTGGGTGTATCTGCTGGTCAAACACTGAAAGGAAGCCTGCGCTGCAACAGCACAATCAGGAGCATCAGGAGTGTAATGCCCACGCAAGAGAACAACACCTTCCAAAAGTCCTCATGGGGGACAGAGAGAAAGACCTGGTGAGAGATCCCGGGAGAAACCACAGGATGAGAGGTCGGCGAAAGAACATTCTGAGGGGGTGCTTCCTCAGCAAGGCTGCCCCTTTGGACACACACCCCCAGAACATCAGGAAGTCAGCAACCTGTTTTGAAAGACTAGGGAAGACTCCTCTTGCAGAAAACATCATGCAACTCACTCCATACTCCAGCAAAGATCCTTTGGTGACATCACAGATTCCCAGAAAGAGGATGGCACATGGGTCTCCTTTTTCCTGAGTAACTGGGGGAGTGGGGTGGGTAGAATAGGCATGTTTACAATAGAAATATGTGGGCTGTAGAAAACAAAAAAATAAATCAAGAAGGGCTTGTAACTGTCACACAGAATCAACCCAGTCTTTTCTCTTCCACATGTTCACAGTCAGCATCATATGCTCAAGAATGTTCTCTTCTGCTCTTTTCACTTTGTATCATATTAGAATCATTTTCTGCCAGGGCTGGGCACGGTGGCTCACGCCTGTAATCCCAGCACTTTGGGAGGCCAAGGCAGGCGGATCACGAGATCAGGAGATCGAGACCACCATCCTGGCTAACCTGGGAAACCCCATCTCAACTAAAAATACGAAACATCAGCCAGGTGTGGTGGCACACGTCTGTAGTCCCAGCTACTCGGGAGGCTGACGCAGGAGAATTGCTTGAACCTGGGAGGTGGAGATTGCAGTGAGCCGAGATCGTGCCACTGCACTTCAGCCTGGGCAACAGAATGAGACTCCATCTCAAAAAAAAAAAAAAAAAAGAATCATTTTCTTCTGTCATTAAATGCTCATTGAAAGTATCGTTTTGAAGGGTACCTACTAATTCATGGGAATGTGGCTGGCTTTACTTTTTTCTTACTGATAAGCCTTTAAGTTTCTCTTCTCAAGATTTGCTCATATTCACAATGCTGAAATTAATCTTTGTACGTAAGTCTTTCTTTGCATCTCAGATTACTTTATTATCCAAATCTTGAAATTATTGATTATGAACCTATTAAGGCTTCTGACTCACATTTCTGAATTGTACTTCAAAATATTTGTGCCAATTTTTGCCCCTAACAAAAACAAATGAGATGCCCAACTCTCTGCAATCTCACCAGCAATGAGTATTTTCACTTTAAAATGTTAGCCATTGGGACAAGTAAAAGGGCAAATCTTATTTGGTTTGAATTTCCATGATTATTATTCAACTATACGTGATAGGTTGATGAAGAGACAAAGAAAGTCTTGCCAATGAAGGTCAAAATATCAGATACGGTACTTTTTAAATTATTATTTGTATACCTTTAAGGAGTACAAGTATTAATACAAATTTGTTACATGGATTTATTGTGTAGTGGTGAAGTCTGGGCTTGTAGTGTACCCATCACCTGAATAACATGCATTGTACCTTTTAAGTAATTTATCTTCCCTCACCCCCATTCTCCTACCCTTCCAAGTTTCCAATGTCTATTATTCCACACTCTGTGTCCTCGTGTACACATTATTTTGCAGTCATTTAAAAGTCAGAACATGATTAGATTAAAAAATGTGGTACATACAGACAATGGAATTCTATTCAGCCATAAAATAGAATGAAACCACGTCTCTTGCCGCTACAAGGCTTTTTTAAAATTTTTATTTATTTTTATTTTTATTTTTATTTTTGTTTTTGAGACGGAGCCTCGCTCTGTTGCCCAGGCTGGAGTGCAGTGGCACGATCTCGGCTCACCACAACCTCCGCGTCCTGGGTTCAAGTGACTCTCCTGCCTCAGCCTCCCAAGTAGCTGGGATTAAAGGCACACGCCACCACGCCTGGCTAATTTTTGTATTTTTAGTAGGGTCGGAGTTTCACCATGTTGGTCAGGCTGGTCTCGAACCCCTGACCTCAAGATCCGCCCACCTCAGCCTCCCAAAGTGCTGGGATTACAGGTATGAGCCACCGTGCCTGGCCTTCAGGGCTTTTTTTTTCACCTGATAACTTTATTTTTATTTTGTCTATAGAGATACTTTATTTTATTTTATAATTTCAACTTTTATTTTAGATTTGGGGGATACACTTGCAGGTTTGTTACATGAGTATATTGCATGATGTTGAGGTTTGGGATACAAATGATCCCAGCACCCAGAGAGTGAGCATTGCACCCAATAAGTGGTTTTTTAATCCTTGTCCCTCTCCCTCCCTGCCCCCTCTAGTAGTCCCCAGTTTCTATTGAGAGCATCTTTCCATGAGTGCCCAACGTTTAGCTCCTACTTATAAGTGAGAGCATGCAGTAGTTGGGTTTTTGTTCCTGTATTAATTCACTTGGCATAATGGCCTCCTGCGGCATTCATGTTGCTGCAAAGAACATAACTTTGTTCTTTTTTATGACTGCATAGTACTCCATAGTGTACATGGACTACATTTTCTTTATCCAATCCACTCTTGATGGGCATCTAGGATGATTCCATGTCTCTGCTATTGTGAATAGTGCTGCAATGAACATACAAGTGCATGTGTCTTTTTGGTAGAATGATTTATTTTCTTTTGGAGATACACCCAGTCATGGGATTGCTGAGTGAAATGGTAGTTCTGTTTTAAGTTACTTGAGACATCTCCAAACTGCTTTCCACAATGGCTGAACTAAACTTAAAAGCATAAACAAGATCGATGGTCCACTAGCTAGATTAACAAAGAAAAAAAAAAGAGAGAAGAACCCAATAAGCACAATCAGAAATGACAAAGGTAACATTACAGCTGATCCCACAGCAAGACAAAGACTCCTCAGAGACTACTATTAACATCTCTAAGAGCACAAACTAGAAAATTTAGAGGATACGGAAAAATTCCTGGAAGCACACAACCTCCCAAGACTGAATCAGGAGAAACTGAAACGCTGAAGAGACCAATATTGAGTTCTGAGACTGAATCAATAATAAAAAACCTACCAACCAAAAAAACAAAACAAAACAAAACAAAAAACACCCAGACCAGATGGAATAGCCAAATTCTACCAGACATACAAAGAAGAGCTGGTACCAATTCTACTAAAACTATCCAAAAAATCGAGGAGGAGGGACTGTGCTCTAACTCATTCTACAAAATCAGCATCGCCCTGCTACCAAAAGCTGGCAAAGACACAACAAAAAAAAATAAAAAACTACAGGCCAATATCCCTGATGAACATAGACACAAAAATCTTCAACAAAATACTAGCCAACAGAATCTAGCAGCACATCAAAAAGTTAATTCACCACAATCAAGTAGGCTTCATTTGTAGGATGCAACATTGGTTCAACATACGCAAATCAATAAATGTGATTCACCACATAAACAGAATTAGAAACAAAGACCATATGATTATCTCAATACATGTGGAAAAAGCCTTCAATAGAATCCAACATCCGTTCATGATAAAAAAAAAAAAACTCAACAAACCAGGCATTGAAGGAACCTATTATTATTATATAATAAAGTATTATCCATATGATAAAGTAGTATCACAAAATAATAAGAGCCATCTATGACAAATCCACAGCCAACATCATACCAAATGAGCCAAAGCAGAAAGCATTTCCCCAGAGAACTGGAACAAGACAAGGATGCCCACTCTCACCACTCCTATTTAATATAGTACTAGAAGTCCTAGCCAGAGCAATCAGGCAAGAGGAAGAAATAAAAGGCATCCAAATAGGAAAAAAAGAAGTTAAACCATCTCTGTTCACTGGTTATATGATTCTATGCCTGGAAAACCCTGAAAACTGCCAAAAGCCTCCTGGATCTGATAAAAATTTCAATAAAGTTTCAGGATACAAAATCAATGTAGAAAAATCAGTAGCCTTTCTACATAACAATAACATTCAAGCTACAAGCAAGATCAAGAATGCAATTCCATTTACAATAACCACAAAAAAAAACTAGAAATACATCTAACCAAGGAGGTGATCTCTATAAGGAGAACTACAAAACGCTGTTGAAAGAAATCATAGATGACACAAACAAATGGAAAAACATTCCATGCTCATGGATGGGAAGGATCAATACTGTTAAAATAGCCACACTGTCCAAAGCAATCTAAAGATTCAATGCAATTCCTATCAAACAACCAGCATCATTTTTTACAGAACTAGAGAAAAATCTAAAATTCATATGGAACCAAAAAGAGCCTAAATGGCCAAAGCAATCTTAAGCAAAAAGAACAAAGCTAGAGGAAATCACATTACTTAACTTCAAACTATACCATAAGGCTACAATAACCAGAACAGCAGTACTGGTACAAAAACAGACACATAGATCAATGGAACAGAATAGAGAACCCAGAAATAAAGCCACACACCTGGTAGCCATCTGATTTTCAACAAGGCTGACAAAAATAAGCAGTGGGGAAAGGGTTCCCTATTCAATAAATGGTGCTGGGACAACTGGCTAGCCATATGCAGAAGAATGAAGCTGGACTCCTGTCTTTCACTACATACAAAAATTAACTCAAGATGGATTAAAGATTTAAATGTCAAATTTAAACCTCAAACTATAAGTTAAACCTCAAACTATAGTTAAACCTCAAACTATAAGAATCCTAGAAGAAAACCTAGGAAATACCATTCTGGACATTGGCCTTGGGAAAAAAATTATGACTAAGTCCTCAAAAGCAACTGCAACAACAAAAAAGTGGACCTAATTAAACTAAAGAGCTTCTTCACAGCTAAAGAAACTATCAACAGAGTAAACAGACACCCTATAGAATGAAAGAAAATATTTTCAAATTATGCATCCAACAAAGGTCTAATATCCAGAATCCCTAAGGAGCTTAAACAACTTAACAAGCAAAAACCAAACAACCCCATTAAAAAGTGGGCAAAAGACATGAACAGACACTTCTCAAAAGAAGACATATAAGCAACCAATAAGCATATGAAAAAATGTTCAACATCACTAGTCATCAGAGAAATACAAATCAAAACCACAATGAGCGCCTGTACTTTGGGAAGCCCAGGTGGGTGGGCCACTTGAGGTCAGGAGTTCCAGAATAGCCTGGTGACATAGCCAACATGGTGAAACCCCATTTCTACTAAAAATACAAAAAAAAAAAAAAAAATTAGCAGTGTGTGGTGGTGCACACCTGTAATTCCAGCTGCTCCGGAGGCTGAGGCAGAAGAATCGCTTGGACCTGGGAGATGGAGGTTGCAGTGAGCCGAGGTTATGCCACTGCACTCCAGCATGGGTAACAGAGTGAGACTCCATCAAATAAATAAATAAATAAATAAATAAATAAATAAATAAATAAATAAATATAAAAACCCACATGAGATATCATCTCACATGAGTCAGAATGGCTATCATTTAAAAAGTCAAAATACAGTCCTTTTAAAGCTGGTTTGGAGGATATGGTTGGGATATGCTACAACCATGTGCTTCCATATTCTGAACCCCAGAATTAGAAATAGACACAGGCCACAGGCAGAACATTACCAGGCCTCCTCTGCATGAAGCAGCAGCGCAGAATACACATGCTCTGCAGCAGGTGGAGTTCAAAGAGGAAGCAGAAGGAGAAACTAAGTTAGGCGGCCCAGGTCCCAGTCCCAAAGGCACCAGCCAAATAATTCACTCCTCTTCTGGTAGAAGCAGATAGAGGTTACAGAGAGGAGAGAAGTCAGGGGTGTTTAAGAATAACTTTTCCTTATAGAATCTGGTAGAGGAAAGAGGAAGACGTGTTTATCCCTTATTCCATACTAATAAAGTCGGACTTTCTGCTTGTGTATGGACTGCTTGGGTTTGGAAAGAATTCGCAACCCCTGTCTTTGTTTCCTTTTTACCTTCATCCTTCCCCTTGGATTTTACCCTTCACATATATAGTTTGCAAAACTGTGCCCTGGCTACTGGTCTCTGTGACAGGTCAGGCACAAAAACAGCATGTTCAGACTGGGTAATTTGAGGACAATTTAATAAAGAGGCTATTTACAAAGATTTAGGCAAGGTGTAGGGAAGTAGCAGGGAGAGAGTGCAGGACTCTGGAACCAACACAGGGCTTGGAAGAGGAATATTACCACCCTGGGGTAGACATACCCTAAGGTGACCCACACTGAGTCCACCCTTGTGTAATCCCCTCCCCTTGAGTGTGGGTGGGTTTTTAACCAATAGAATATTTCAAGGGTGATGAGCTATTACTCTCATGACCACCTTACATTTTCAGGACTATGTCTTAGCAGGTTGAAAACAGTCTCTTGCTGGCCTTGAAAAGCAAACCGTCATGTGCTAACTGCCTAGAGATAGGGAGACGGCCATGTGGCAAAGAGCTTTGGGTGGCCTCTAGCACCAGGGGCAGTCTCTATCTAATAGCCAGTAAAAAAAAAAAAAAAAAAAAAAATGGGGCCCTCAGTCATGCAGCTACAAGGAAATGTATTCTTCCAACAGGCTGAATGAGCTGGAATGAACTTGGACGCTTCTCCCATTCAAGCCTCCAGATGAGAACACAGCCTAGTGGACACCTTGATGGCAACCTTGTGTGATCCTGATCAGAAGACCCAGTTAATACAATCTCATTATAAAAGAAAAAAAAAAGGCCTGGCGCAGTGGCTGACGCCTGTAATCCCAGCACTTTGGGAGGCCGAGGTGGGTGGATCACGAGGTCAGGAGTTCAAGACCAGCCTGACCAAGATGGTGAAACCCAGTCTCTACTAAAAATACGAAAATTAGATGGGCATAGTGGCAGGCACCTGTAATCCCAGCTGCTTGGGAGGGTGAGGCAGGACAGTCGCTTGAACCTGGGTGGCAGAGGTTGCAGTGAGCTGAGATTGTGCCACTGCACTCCAGCCTGGGTGACAGAGTGAGACTCCATCTCAAATAAAATAAAATAAAAATTAAAAAATAAAAGAGAAAAAAAGAAAAGGAAAGTTCTTTATTTCTAAACGTGCCTATGTATGTGCGTGTAAATAAAAGTCATAGATGAACAGACATTTAATGAGAATAGTGGTTACCTCCAAGGAGGGTCGGGGGCCTGGGATAGATGGTAAAGGTCTACTTACATGTTAACATCATTGTTTAAATGTGTGCAGTAACAATATATTCATATATTATTTGTATAATTAGAATACTAACAATATTAACCAAAGAAAAAGAAAAGATCATTTGCTCATTCATAATGTCATTCTCTGTTCACAACAGTGAACAGAGGCATTACCTATTTTTACTTTTCAAGTAAAGAAATGAGACCCAGAGAGGGGAAGAGGGTTGTACTTGTCGGTAGCCATGCTTCAGCCCATGGGGCCTCCACCAGCTCACACCATTCACTGTGCCTTTTCGGTGAGGATGGACTCCAGACCCTATAAGCGCCTTCCATGCTAGTGCTCAGATCCCGCATTTGTAGGCTCACAGCCCCCACTTACCCCCACAATGGACTGAATGTTTGTATCCTCCCAAAACTCATGTGTTGAAGCCTCATTCCCTAATGTGATGGTTTTAAGAGGTAGTGCCTTTGGAAGGTAATTAGTGCCCTTTTGAGAAGAGACACAAGAGATATGATTTCTACCCCCTCTATGAGAGGACACAGCAAAAAGGTAGCTGTGTGCAAACAAGGAAGAGAGCCCTCATCAGGAACTGAATTGGCCAACACCCTGATCTTGGACTTCCCAGCCTCCAGAACTGAGAGAAATAAATGTCTGTTGTTTGAAAGCCCCAGCCTATGGCATGCTTGTTACAGCAGCCCAGATGGATTAAGGCACTCCCTCCAAGAAACATCAGGCTCTCTACACATATCCTGGGTCAGACCCCCTCTGAGTCACTGGCAGAAACCACAGCTAGACCAGTCTAGGGGACAAATGCCCTATTCATTGATGCTTCAGGCAAACTCAAAGGTGATGCAGATTGATCCTCTATGTGACAGATGAGGAAACTGAGGCTCATGGAAGGGAGGACCCAGACACTCTGCTCTGAGTAACCAGAGCCTGGCTTCTCCTGAGCATGGTGTGTACGGCCATTTCTTGGAGGGAGATGCCACAGGGCCTCTCCTCCTGCAGCACATGACCTACCTGGAGCACAGGATATGCACTGATGAAGAACACACTGTACAAGGTAGGCTGTGAGCACTGCCTAGGTGTGAGAAAGGGAATCCAAGTGTGGGAACTTCCTCCCCTTCTTGAGGGGTCACCTGAGCCTTAGCTTACTCATACACTAAGCTGCATCTCCAGGGGAGAGCCGAGCCTATGGGAGTCTGGGCTGTGGGATTGTGTCTATTCTTATTTATTTCTAAGTGGCAGAATGCTAAAAAAAAAAAAAAAGAAAAGAAAAGAAAATAAAGACCATACCACTGCAAGTTAATTCAATGAGTTACTTTTTAAAAATAAATTTGTGCAGAAAAAATTCCTTGATCAGACTCTATAGCATGCAGCTACCCTGTCTGCTATGCAGGAAGCCACAGGACTCCCTGGCAAGAGGAGAGCGGGGGTATAGGCATCAGGGCGGGGGGCCCGCCTGGATGCAACGGGCAGAATTTTTCCTGCAGCAATGGAGCTGTAAGACAGCAGCCACAGGTGTCTTCCCCACCTCCAGCTCATTCAGCCTCTGACTCAGTCACCCTGCAGCCCCCCTTCTCTCCCAGCTCGGCCTCGGGCTGTTGTATTTTGCGTCACTCATTTCTCTGTGGCGCCAGCAGCCTTTATTGTTGAAAACGTCTGTATTTTGCTTTAATCAGAGCTCCTGTCAAGCACTGGCCCCCTCCTTTTGTACTTCATTGTCCTCAAGGGGAAAAAATTTATTACTAGCATCATTTTACACAAACCTCCCAGACGTGCTGGGATTCCACAATTCATGAAGCCACCACTTTGGTTTCTGCTCAGCACCAGGAGTCACAAAAGACAAAAGGAAAGAATGTCCACCTCTCCTCGAGCTGCTGCTACCAGTGCTGGTCAGCTACTGACTTCTGTGTGATCATCAGCCAGTTGCTGCCCCTCTCTGGGCATCAGGTTCATCACCTATGCAACCAGGGGGATAGAGATGGTTTCCAAAGATAATTTCATCCCATTCTGCTATAATTTTGATTCATAAGAGTAATTGGGGCTGGGCGCGGTGGCTCACACCTGTAATCCTAGCACTTTGGGAGGTCAATTGGATCACTTGCGATCAGGACTTTGAGACCAGCCTGGGCAACATGGCAAAACTCCATCTCTACCAAAAATACAAAAAAAATTAGCTGGGCATCATGGCATGCGCCTGTGGTCCCAGCTACTTGGGGGACTGAGGTGGAAGGATTGCTTGAGCCCAGGAGGTTGGGGCTGCAGTGAGCTGAGATCACACCACTGCACCCCAGCCTGGGTGACAAAGTGAGTCCCTGCCTCAAAAAAAAAAAAAAAAAAATAGTAATTGGAATTACCCAGACCTGTGCATCACGTCTCTCGGCCTCTGGTCATCGTTATCCCTAATGCTCATTGGACTTTCTGTTGTTTTTTTTTTTTTTTGAGACGGAGTCTCACTCTGTCGCCCAGGCTGGAGTGCAGGGGCGCGATCTCGGCTCACTGCAAGCTCCGCCTCCCGGGTTCACGCCATTCTCCAGCCTCAGCCTCCTGAGTAGCTGGGACTACAGGCGCCCGCCACCACGCCCGGCTAATTTTTTGTATTTTCAGTAGAGACGGGGTTTCACCGTGTTAGCCGGGATGGTCTCCATCTCTTGATCTTGTGATCCACCCGCCTCGGCCTCCCAAAGTGCTGGGATTACAGGCGTGAGCCACCGCGCCCGGCCCTGATTGGACTTTCTTATTGAATATCCGAGCATCACATTCCCCAACTTTAGACTTCTATGTCTTCTCCCTTCCTGGCCTGACACCCCAAGGCCTTCATAGCTTAGCTTCAACCTCCTCTTCCTGCCATTTCTCCTGTCCCTGTCACCCCATCCCATCACTGCCACCAGCAAGAAGGCTACATTTTTTAAAAGTTTATTTTATTTTATTTTTCTATGTTTATTTTTTTATTATACTTTAAGTTCTAGGGTACATGACTTGGAAGACTACATTTTAAGTTTTCTTCATGCCTCTTTGATTCTGCACATGCTGTTCCTGCTACCTGGAGTGCCTTTTCCCTCTCTTTCATTTGTCTATCTGACTTCTTTGCCTTCAAAACGCAGTTCAAACACCAAAGTCTTGAGGAAATGCCAGGTGAAATCAGTCTGAGCCTCCACTGGGCTCCCCTCGCCCCCCTGCACACGCCCCAAGCCCAGCACTGCCCACTGTTCTCAGGACAGGACCTGGCATGGACAGGTTGGATGCAGTTGGCTGCATGTGGGGACACACAGGGAGGGCCAGAACTCACCTAAACAGGGCTGGTGGACTCATCTTAACTGTGGCACAGTGGGAAGAATGCAGTTTTGGAGATGCTTGTGTCAGGGTTCAAATGCTGGTGCTGTCACTTTCTGGGGGTGTGCACTAAGGCAAGTCACTTAACTGCACTGTAAAATGCAATGTAAAATGGTAATTATTAAGCTTACCTTGCAAGGTCACTGTGAGGAATAGATAGAATTATGTGATGTCTAGCACACACTGAATGGTAGGTATTCAATAAATAGTAGTTATAGGGCCCACTTATCATTGTTTGTCTGTCTGTCTGCCTATTCATCCATCTATCCATCCATCCATCCATCCATCCATCCATCCATCCATCCAATACTGATTGAGTGTTTTCCACGTGCTGGGCATAGTGCTAGGCTGGAGATGTGGTAATGAGTATTCAGGACAAGCTAGGTCTCCCCCTCCTGCTCTGATATTTGAAGTGGCCTTAGTTTCCGTCTCACCTCTCCCAGTGCCACCTGACCTGGTGCTGCTCTAAGCTAGTGGGATGAAACTCTGGCCTGGCTCAGGCCACCCAGAGAAGGAGCATCATTTCCTTCTGCACCTGCCTGCCTGGTGCATGTGGGCCTGGACTGCCCTGAGGTGGGCCTCAGAGATGGGAAAGAGGCTCAAGATGGTGCTGGGCAGGGCCTGAGCCACTCAGAGACATTTCTGCAGCAGCCTTCATGGCCCTGCCACACTGGCCGCCACTTACCTGGCCATACCCCAACCCTTCCTCCAACTCCTCACTCCTATCCAGCTGATCTACTCACTCTTCCACTTGCCCTCCCAGAGGGCTGTTGTGAGGACTAAATGAATTGATGTAGGTAAAGTTCTAGAACCTTCCTGGCATGCAGTGGGCACTGCAGAAGCATTCAGGTCCACTATTCTATCATCAAATAATCAAGATGACTCATGCAGGGGCATCAATGCCCTCAGTTCACAGTCGTGGAAACACGCTGAGAGACAGAATGAGGGTCGCCCAAGGACAATGTCTGGGAAGAGGCGAGAGAGACTGGAAGCCAATTTGGACTGCAGTGAAGGGCTGAGGTCGGGCTCTTTCAATAAAAACATGTTATTACTGCCCTGAGCTGTTTACACCTCCCTCTAGATCAGCTGCATAGCCAGAGTGGGGAGGTGAGAAGTGGGCAAGGGAGCTGAAGCGGTGCTACCCTTCTGTGGGGGTTTGATGCAGCTATAGCACCCCCAGCCAACACACACACACAACATACGCAACACACAATCCTGAGAAATCCTCCCTGGAAAGCTTCCCCTGTAGATGCATGGACATGAGTCAGAAGTCAGCCATCGGCCGGGCACGGTGGCTCACGCCTGTAATCCCAGCATTTTGGGAGACCGAGGTGGATGAATCATGAGGTCAGGAGTTCAAGACCAGCCTGACCAACATGGTGAAACCCCGTCTCTACTAAAAATCCAAAAATTAGCCAGGCGTGGTGGTGCGTGTCTGTAATCCCAGCTACTCAGGAGGCTGAGGCAGGAGAATCGCTTGAACCCAGGAGGTGGAGGTTGCAGTGAGCCGAGATCACACCACTGCACGCCAGCCTGGGTGACAAAATGAGACTCTGTCTAAAAAAAAAAAAAAAAGTCAGCCATCAACTGCAGTTGTGCCTGGGTAGCTCCTTGGTGAGGTGCCTTTTGGAAACACCTCCTAGCACCCCAGGTAGTTCCCACTCCCAGGTCCCTCCATCCCAGACACCAAGCTGGAGGATTTACAAACATCTCATGCCCCAGGAGCTCAGAGTTAGGTGTTATTCTGTCCATGTCCCAGACAAATGTCCTGTGACTCAGAGAGGGGGCTTACTCAGGGACAATGAGAGGACGAGTGGCCCAGCGAGATAAGAAACAAGTATCCTGAGCCCTTATCTAGGACTTTCCTCCGCTTTCTTGTGCCAAGTCCTCAATGTCTCAGTTGCCTTGGGAGCTCCCTATATTCCTGGTCCCTGAGTACAAAAGAATGAGCAAGACAGGGCATCCACAAGGGCTCTTCCACTTGGCTGTCTCCTCCATCCCAGCCTTGGGGGGTCATTCTATCACCCACCACATATCCCCTCACTCGGATCCAAGGACCCTCTGTGGGCTTTCCTGATGCATCTCCCAGCACCTCACAAACACCCCCAGCCCGGCTGCCTTTTACGGAGCTGAATCGGGCCAAGACCTCCCTTTCACATGAGTTTTATTCCCTTTCAAAGGTGACTTGGTGACACTGTTCAGTGCGGACCCACCTCAAGCTTCGGTTGTTTGTGATTTAATGAGGAGCCTTTTAATTATAACATCTGTTGTTTTAATTACCAAAGGAATTATAATGAGGCTCCCGGAGGAAGCTGCTGCCAGAGTAGAAGCTGGAGAAGAATTCTCGGCATCAGAGGGCCGACAGGGTCCCTGGCACGGTGGCTGCCACTGAGTGTGACCCGTCATGGAGAGTACTTCATCTTCATTTTAATTAAGCTTCGGGGGTGAGACAGGCAGCCTCCGGATTCAAGGGAGCTGACTGCCCGTATCCTGAAAGAGGCTCTGCTTTAGGAAGCCTCGGATTTTGTGGATGGAGAGAAGGCAAAAAGACAAACACGCCATTTTGCTGATGCTGATAGAGGCACACATTGGCCACTCAATAAGCAGGTGGGGACAAGAGCCTGGGCCTCCCTACTGTGCAGCTGTGTGACCTTAGCACGATCAGCAGATGTCGGCAGATTTTAGTTTTCTCACGTAGAAAATGAAAGTGATGGTCAAGTGCAATGGCTCATGCCTGTAATCCCAGCACTTTGGGAGGCCAATGCAGGAGGATTACTTGAGATCAGGAGTTTGAGACAAGCCTGGGCAACATAGTGAGATCCCATTTCTAAAAAAAAAAGAAAGAAAAAAGAAAGCAAGAAAGAAAGAAGGAAAGAAAGAGAAAGAAAGAAAGAAAGAAAGGAAGGAAGAAAGAAAGAAAGAAAGAAAGAAAGATGAAAATGATGCCATCTCTTTCTCTCTCAATGAAATGATTCATCCCTGACATTAGAACCTGGGTTTAGAGTTTGTAAGCCATGTTCACATCCATCAGATAGAAAGAACTGTGTATATTGTAAGATGAATTTCACACAGACAGAGGGTCCATGATGAAGGTGAGGATACGAACCTTGGTGGTAGTGAGGCCAAGTTCATAATGGTGGTGAGAGTGATTATGTTTCTGAGATAGCAATCATGCCCATTATCTCAGCTCTTTACCCCTTCTGTATCCATGCCCATTGAAGTTCCTCTCCCTAAAGAGCGTGAGTCTTTTCTCCCACTGAATTTGGACAGGTCTTGCAACTTGCTGCATTTAAAAGAATGCAGGAGAAATGATGATAAGCCTGTTCCACACCTAGGTCTCGGCAGATCTTGCTTGCTTCTGCTTCCTCTCTGCTTCTCCACCACAACCCTGAGAACTTGCCCAGGCTTGCCTACAGAGAATGAGATTCACATGAAGGAGAGCCAATGCCATTCTAGATGGGCCAACAGCCCACCAGCTGCCAGACACATGAGTGAGCCCAGCGAAGATCAGCAGAGCGGCTGGGCCTCCTGCAGCTGACCCCAGACACACGCACAACAAATGCAATGCTTGTAGGTTACAGAGGATAAGTAGCAATTTTATGTAGCATTATATGGTAATAAATAATAGATACACTCCTCCAGGTTCTGAAGCAATTGAGTAATAGAGACAAGAAACAGACAGGTAACAAAACAGTTTTTGTTTTGTTTTGTTTTTCCTAGTAAGACTTGGTTGGAAAATGCTACTTGAAACTTCTGAACCAAACCTGGATTTCTACCCAAATTGAATGTACCCATCCATGACTGCCCAGGTGAGATTATCATATACAGGGGAGGAAGAAAAACACCTGCAGCCATAGTCAGGCTGGTCAAAAAGAGAGAATGATCCAGAGAAACCCAGCAACTCATGCTCAATCCTTTAACAGAACCTCAGGCCAGTCAAGACACTTCTCCCCTAGGGAGGAATGAGCGAGGGGGTAGAGACAAGGGTAAAAACGATGTGCCCACACTTCCAGGAGGGCTGAAATTCCTATTTTCATCTTTAATGGGGCCATGGCAGAAATTTAGGGCAAGAAAGAAAATGGCTTCTGCTAGACAGGAGCTGATGGAGGTGGTGTTGTTGGAGGTGGTGGTGATGGAGGTGGTGGTGATGGAGGTGGTGGTGATGGAGGTGGTGGTGATGGAGGTGGTGGTGATGGAGGTGGTGGTGATGGAGGTGGTGGTGATGGTGATGGAGGTGGTGGTGATGGAGATGGTGGTGATGGGGGTGGTGCTGATGGAGGTGGTGGTGGTGGTGGTGATGGGGGTGGTGGTGATGGAGATGGTGGTGATGGTGATGGAGGTGGTGGTGATGGAGGTGGTGGTGGTGGAGGTGGTGGTGGTGATGGGGGTGGTGGTGATGGAGGTGGTGGTGATGGTGGTGGTGGTGATGGGGGTGGTGGTGATGGAGGTGGTGGTGATGGAGGTGGTGGTGGTGGTGGTGATGGAGGTGGTGGTGATGGAGGTGGTGGTGGTGATGGGGGTGGTGGTGATGGAGGTGGTGGTGATGGTGGTGGTGGTGATGGGGGTGGTGATGATGGGGGTGATGGTGATGGGGGTGGTGGTGATGGTGATGGGGGTGGTGGTGATGGGGGTGATGGTGATGGGGGTGGTGGTGATGGAGGTGGTGGTGATGGAGATGGTGGCGAAGGAGGTGGTGGTGATGGAGTTGGTGATGGTGATGGTGATGGTGGCAAGGATGCTTCCTATCCACGGGCTACACCAAGACATCCTCTGGTGTCTTTGCAGGCTGGCCAGTCCCATGCAGATGCTTGGCTGAGCAGTGGGGCTTTTTTCTATCACAGCCTTCTTGGAGTTGCCCAATCACAGCAGCGTCCCATGCACCTCTGCCTTGGATCATGCGTGGGATATTTTCCCCCATTTTGCCCATCTAGAAAACTGCCACTCACCCATCAAGTCTCAGTTCGAATGCTGCCTTTTTGGTGGAGTCATCCTACGTTCTACTTGACAGACTCAGGTTCTGTATCTCCAATGCTCCTGCTCCCCTTCCTACATCCCCTAGTTGGAGCACACATCACACTGCCTGCATTCTGGTTTACCTGATTCCCCACAGGACCCTTGAGGGCTAAGAATGTATCTTACCCATCAATGGATAATTTGTGCCCAGCATTGAACCTGGATCATAGTTAGTGCCTCATATATGTTTGTTAAATACATTAAATCAGCCCCTATCTGAGCAAGCATGGAGGGAGACACAGGTAAAGGAAAGGGGTAAGTACCAGAGAGGTTCCAGGTATAAATGTGGAGGCCAGCAGGGTCTGGAATGTGTACTAAAGGACTGGATCAGTGGATACAGCAATACTGACTCATCAACCAGCCCCTATATTTTTCTATGAATTAGCTTTTTAAAAATGTTATTTTAACAGAAGGAAGCAGGCAGGTCTCACTCGACAGGGTATTGACTTTCTGTAGCACATTTTATTAAGACTCATCAGGACTGCAGGTCTCTGCATCCTCTGAGGGTGCCTGTGTGTTCAGGAGGCAGAGTGATAGGGAAATTAAATGCAGCAGCTGCATCCTTTGAAGCTTTTTTAAGCAGGCAAGGCCAGCCAACTCCACAGCATACAAGCTGGAGAATACCAGATATGCTGCCTTCCTGGACTTCTACCCAAGCAGGGAAAGATATTTTCTAATTAGCCAAGTTAGATAAATGTTCTTCCACCATGCTCTTGTTTGGAGAATAGGTGGATGCTAAGAAACGTGGCTGTGGAGTGAATTTGTGTAGAGCTATTCTTTTGCTTTTAGTGGTTTCCAATATTTAAATACACATACACACACACACACACACAGCTCTGATGCCACACAGCTGGGGAAATTGAAATAGAAGGGAATGAAAATATTTTGAAAAGTGGAGATTTAGGTGGTGGTAAGACCCATGACATATTGTGTGGCCAGGACCCCCAAGGAGTTCCCTTCCATGGGCATCTTTCCCCCTCCATAGCTGACTCTCAGGTACACTTCCCTTTCACTGGGCTGTGCCCTATTTTATATAGCAAGTCCCAACTCAAACACCTTCGATGACTCCTTGGGAGACCTGGAATAATGTCTGCCTTTTGGGGTGGTGTTTATGACCCTTCACAGTCTCACTTGAACCTGTCTTTCCTTTTGTCTTCTTACACTCCTCTTCGACCCCACACATCCTGTGCCACTCTACTGCTAAAACCAATAATCATCATCATTGTCACAACCATCGCTTGCGTTTATTAAGTGCTGACTCTTGAGTGGCCCCAGAACAGGAGCCTTACATTCATTAGCTTATTTCATCTTCATAATTCCACGAAGCTGGCACTGGGATGACCCTCAGCTTGACGATGAGGACATTTGGGCTCAGATCAGTTAAGGGACTTGCCCAAAGCTACACAAGTAATAAGTGACCAACGGTACCCATCCTGACCTCTTTGCCTTGGCAAATGCTGTTTCTCCTGCTTAGTGGCTTCCTCTCTCCACCTTCTTCATCTGACAATCTCCTGCTTTGGAGCCCTGGTAACCGTTTCTTTCTGATTTTTGACCTCACCTTCCCTGATCAAACTCCCCTGGCTCCATGAGTCATTTCCGAACAAATGCCACTTGGTTGAATCCCATTTCTCAATTGAGTAAATGGGATTCAACCAAGTGGCATTTGTTCTGATATGATTCTGAATTGAGCAATTGTGAAAGGAGTCTTAACGGAATGAAAGGCTGCTGTTCTCCAGAGCTTTAATTCTGCTCTGCCAGTCAACACATCTCTGTTGGGGGCCTGCGCTGTCCCAGGCTCTGTGCTGTGACCTGTGGGAGTCTAAATGGAATCAAAGAGGCACTCTCCAGGGTTTCAGACAGATTGGCACCTGGTGTTCAGAGCACTCATTTATGGTAAAACATCTCTAGTTTGTATGCGGACATTTTCTTTTTATTTTGAATATTGTTCATGTACACCTTCTCTCTCTTTTTCTGAACTACTGTTACCAAAATCGGTAAAACATTGGCCTTTCCAAGCAACCACACTTAGTTTTGCTGATGTCTTTATTTTATGTGGCTGTCTATTATTTGTTTTATTGTTTATTCATTTCTATCATTATCTTCATTATTCCCTTCTTTCTAGTTTCCCTGATTCTTTTTCCAGATTCTTGAATTGATTGCTTGGATTGTGGGTTATATACAGCTGTTCTAATTTCCTAATAAATGCATTCAACACTATAAATTACCCCTCTAAGAACCAGTGAAACTGCCTCAGACAAGCTGAGATATGTAATGTCTTTATTACTTTCAATTTGAAATACCTGTTAATTTCTGTTATGATTTTCTTTTTTAACCCCTGGATAATTTAGATGTGTGATTTTTAATTTCCAAACATGTACTTAAAACATCTCTTTGTTGTTGATTACTAATTTTATTGCATACCAGATAGAGAAACTGTAAGTAATGAAGATTCTTTGGAATTTATTGATACTTCTTTTGTGGTCTGTGCATAGCCCATTTTTTGACATGTATCCTCTCTTTGTCAAGTTTAAATTTACATTTATGCAGACATAACTATACATTCCTTTTAATCCACCAGCTTCTGAAAAAGATTTCTTAAAAATCGCCCACTATATTTGTTTATTTGTCAACTCTTCTCTCTAATTATTTCAGTTTTTGCTTTGTATATTTCAAGGCTGGTATTGACGGATTCATACACGGCAATGCCTGTCCCTAATACTTTTAATATCTTCCATCTTAAGTTCAGTTTTGTCTGATGTTAATACAGTCATGCACTACATAGTGACATTTTGGTCAATGGCGGACCAAGTATATGATGGTGTTCCCATAAGATTATAATGAAGCTGAGACATTCCTATTGTCTAGTGAGGTTATAGCCATCATAACATCAGCATAGACAATGCATTACTCATGTGTTTTTGGTGATGTAGGTGTAAACCAATCTACTGTGCTGCCAGTGATATAAAAGTATAGCACACACACGATTACGTACAGCACATAATACTTGATAATGATAATAAAAGACTGCATTACTGCTTTATATACTTACTATACTGTATTTTTCATCGTTATTTTAGAATGTACTTCTGCTGCTTATAAAAAATGGTTCACTGTAAAACAGCTTCAGGCAGGTCCTTCAGGGAGTTTTCCAGAAGAAGGCATTGTTATCACGGGAGATGACAGTTCCATGCATGTTATTACCCCTGAAGACCTTCCAGTGGGACAAAATGTGGAGGTGGAAGACAGTGATATTGATGACCCTGACCTTGTGTAGGCCTAGGCTAGTGTGTGTGCTTGTGTCTTTGTTTTTAACAAAAAAAGTTTAAAAAGGAAAAAGAAAAAGAAAAAAATTTTAAATAAAAAAGATCTTATAGTGTAAGAATATAAAGAAAGAAAATATTTTTATAGTTGTACAATGATGTATATATTTAATGCTAAGTGTTATTACAAAAGAGTCAGAAACTTTAAAAATTAAAGGTTTTTGTTATTTTTATTTTATTTTTGAGACAGAGTTTCACTCTTGTTGCCCAGGATGGAGTTCAGTCGTGTGATCTCAGCTCACTGCAACCTCCGCCTCCAGGTTCAAGTGATTCTCCTGCCTCAGCCTCCGAAGTATCTGGGATTACAGGTGTGCACCACCACACCTGGCTAATTTTTGTATTTTTAGTAGAGATGGGGTTTCACCATGTTGGCCAGGCTGGTCTCAAACTCCTGATCTCAGGTGATCTGCCCGCCTCAGCCTCCCAAAGTCCTGGGAGTACATGTGTGAGCCACCGTGCCCGTTCTTAAAAATTAAAGCTTATAAAATAAAAATGTTGCAATAAGCTATGGTTAATTCATTATTGAAGAAAAATATTTTAAAATAAATTTGAGTGTAGTTTAAGTGCACAGTATTTATGTAGTGTACAGTAATGTCCTAGACTTTCACATTCATGCCCACTCACCACTCACACACTGACTCTCCCAGAGCAAGTTCCAGTCCTGAAAGCTCCTGCATTTATAGTAAGTGCCCTTATCTCAGAACGGGGATATTCTCATCACTAGTTGTGGTAATATCCTCAGTTCACAAATTCAGCTGTGCAAAAATATAAAACTTAATTTTTCTATAATTCAACCTAATTTCTGTTTCAAGCTTCCCATTCAGCTGGTATAGAAACTTATGTCCTGTATAGAAGTGTCATTTTTTTTTTTTTTTTTTTGAGACAGAGTCTTGCTCTGTCGCCCAGGCTGGAGTGCAGTGGCGCGATCTCGGCTCACTGCCAGCTCTGCCTCCCGGGTTCACGCCATTCTCCTGCCTCAGCCTCCCGAGTAGCTGGGACTACAGGCGCCCGCCACCACACCTGGCTAATTTTTTGTATTTTTAGTAGAGACAGGGGTTTCACTGTGTTAGCCAGGATGGTCTCGATTTCCTGACCTCGTCATCCGCCTGCCTCGGACTCCCAAAGTGCTGGGATTACAGGCATGAGCCACTGCGCCCGGCCAGAAGTGTCATTTTTAAATAATCTTTTATGTCACACTTTTACTGTCTCTTTTCTATGTTTATATACACAAATACTTCCTATTGTGTTACAATTGCTGACAGTATTCAGTACACCACCGCGATGTCCAGGTTTGTAGCCTGGGAGCAGTAGGCTATATGCTATAGCCTTGGTATGTAATAGGCTATACTATCCAGGTTTCTGTGAAGTGCACGCGATGATGTTCACACAACGAAATTGTTTAACAGCACATTTCTCAGAGTGTATCCCAGTTTTTAAGTGATGCCTGACTATATTTCTTTTGCAGGTCTGTTATTGCTATTTATCTCTTTATTTGTAATACTTTGGTGTCATTTAGTTTTAGCTCTTTTGCTTTTAAATAGTACATGAGTTGCTCTTATATAAATAGTTATAGATGCTCTTAAATAGCAACCATTTTTTTAAAAATCAAATTTAAGAATCTCTTTTAATTGGTAAATTTAATATGTTTGCATTATGTAATAGATAATCTATATTTATTTCTGCTGTTTTATTTTGGTTTCCCAACTTCCTATTTTTTCTTTATTTTCCTTTCCTTGTTTCTCATGGGGTTGATCAAGTTGTTTTTGTTGTTATTTCAGATATGATATTTTTCCTGTGCTGGACTTAAAATTACATTTTCTATAACTTTATTAGCAAACATACATTTTTTAAGCAATTTCCAGCACAAATCTGTAAATACATCCCTCTGGTTGACTGAGATGAAACCTTAGCATAGTTTTATTATGAGTTGAGTTGGGTGAGGCCATGTCCACCCATTTTTCCCCCACCCCACCTTGATAACATCACCTAGAATTTTTATTTCAAATTGTTGACCACACCCCTTCCACTATATCAGCCCTCCTGAACATGGAGATGCAGCCGTGAAGACAGACAGGGAGACAATTACAGATTTCTTAACTCATTCAGGCAGCTATAACCAAATACCATAAACTGAATAGCTTATAAGTAACACAATTTTATTTCTCATGATTCTGAAGGCTGGGAAGTCCAAGATCAAGGCAACAGTAGATTCAGCGTGTGGTGAGGGCCTGCTTCCTGATCAATAGATGATGCCTTTTCACTGTGTCCTCACCGGATGGTGAGGGCCTGCTTCCTGATCAATAGATGATGCCTTTTCACTGTGTCCTCACCGGATGGTGAGGGCCTGCTTCCTGATCAATAGATGATGCCTTTTCACTGTGTCCTCACCGGATGGTGAGGGCCTGCTTCGTGGTCAATAGATGATGCCTTCTCATCATGTCCTTACATGGTAGGAGGGGCAAGGGATGTCCCTGCAGCCTTTTTTATCAGGGCACTAACCCCATTCATGAGGGCTCCACCCTCCTGACCTAATCACCTCCCAAAGGCCCCACCTCCTCATACTATCATCTTGGGGGTGAGGATTTCAACTTATGAACACAAACATTCAGACCATAGCAACTGAAAATAAGTTTCTATCCCAGCTGAATGGGACGCTTGAGACAGAAATTAGGTTGAATTACAGAAAAATAAAGTCTAATTTTTTTTGCTCAGCTGAGTTTATGAATTGAGAATATTACCACAATTAGTGACAAGCCTGTCCCCATTCTAAGATGAGAGCTCCCCTGGGGTGGAACTATGGCTGTTTCCTCTCTGGACTCCCAGTGCACAGGCCATTGCACAGAGTGGACAAAATGAAACATCTGGGAATGCTTCCTGGGTAGGAAAGAGGAAAGCACCTCAGTAGCCGAGAGCTGGCCTGGTATCCTCAGCTAGGCCTTGGTGCTCTACTGTTGAACATGGGCAATTTTGCAGGACATCAACATTGGACATGGAGACTCTGAGACTGTGATGCCTTAAGACCCAATCCAGACCCCTCATAATCATGTTTGAACAGAGTCAACATGAAACTTATCCAGAGGTGCATGAAAATCACTAAATATCTCCCAATCTGGGCTGCCATGAGGAACTGCTACGTCTTTAGCAATCACAGCCTTTGTCTCTCTCTATTCTCCTCACCTTACAGAAAATAATTATTAGATACCAGATACAGAATTACCTTCACCAGCATCCAATCCAGAGCAAAGCTCCATTCCCTTGAATTCTGTCCGCCATCACCTAACATAAGCCTGGTTCCTGTAAGTCCTATTCAAGTCTCCCTTACTGGGATGCTTCACAGTTTCCTGTAGTGGATCTTTGCTCTTGTTTCAACTTGTGTATTAAAGCCAATGTTGTTAAGCTACCTGTGTGTTTCTGGTGGTCTCTGGCTGGCAGTCATGAGCTATGGGTCAGGTGGGATGTGATTGTAGTCTGACTGTAGTCTGAGAGTGGAAGTTTTCAAATGCTGGTTGAATTGAGTTGAATTCATGAAATGGGTGCTTGGAGTGCCTGGAAAATAGTGTGCATTTCACTTCTGACTGTCTCTCCTCTCGAGCCCAAACCCAGCCAGGTCTGCCTGTCAGATACTCTGAGCAGCTACGGGAAGGGCTCCTTTTATTGCAAGGAAGCCTCATGTACTTCCCATTTCAGCCTAATAAAAGAAGCCTTCACCCAGGCAGGTCTACTCTCAGCCATTCCCTTCATCCTAAGAGATGAAAGGTTGAACCTAGAGCTAGAAATATGTTCAGAGGAATCTGCTAGTGGCATGGCTTGTATGCCCAAGGCATGGAGTGTGGTTACTATAAGGTTCTCAGACTGGGTCCTGCCTACTCACAGCCCTGGAGGAGGCTGATGGAGACCAAGCCAAGGATTCATGAGGAGTAGACAAGGACAGAACTGGTTTGGGACTAGATGATTCCCTCCCAGTGCAGATGGACTGGTCTCTGGCCAGCCCTGTGCCCATGGCCTCACCCAACTTCTTCACATACATTGTGACTCTTCTGTGAGCAGCTACATGGTTCCCAAGGCAATGGGAACGAAGCTGCTAGCCATGGGGACTAGCCCTGGTACAGCTTTTTGCTGTCAGAAACTGCCAAAGAGGTATTGAGTATAACGTCTTCTCACCTAAGAGAAATTAAATTAACTGGTAACAAAAATATTGATCTGGGTTTTGGCAAATAAAGATCAGGCTGCAGGTACACTTCCAGAGTGCTCTCCGATTACACACACACACACTCACACTCAGGGGTGTATACACAAACACATATACACGCTTAATCCCACTGAGACATCTACTCTGTCAGATTTGTGGAAATGCAATAGGAAATTGGCCTCTTCCCAGAAGAACTGAGGTGTCACTGAGCCCAAACTTCCCTCCATTTTCGGTAAATTGCTTGATTTCTCCAGGACCCCGCCGTGTGGCCTTTAGTCATGGAGACTGTGAGAACACCACGCGGAGCCAGAAGGGAGTGACTCCCAAATTCATGCACCGAGTCTCAAGGTAGTGGGGGAAGATGAGCAGGACCTGCCATCCTTCCCTCCCAGCCTGGAACGCTCAGTTGCTTCATAGACCTTGCTCAAATGTCACCTCCTCTATGAAGCCTTCCCTGACCTTTTCCGAGTAGATTTTATCGCATTCTCTTCTGGGTTCCAGCAGCAAATTGGAACGACCTCTTGTTGCAGGCATCAATACTTTTGCCTGCTGGATCTCTTAGGATTTGGTTCAGCTGCACGTAACAGAGTCCCTCAAACAACCATGGCTTAAACAGAATAGGAGTGTAGTCATCCCTCCAAATAAAAGCCCAGGGTTGGGAGGCAACTACACAATCTTCTGGAATCCAGGCTACTCTGGCTTTTTTTTCTTCAGTTCTCCCTGGGGTGTGGTTCTCAGGCTCTTAGCACATGATGGTGGCTGGAACTTCAGCCATCAGAGCATATCCAATGCCACAGGATGGAGTGGGCAGGAATCAAGGAGGAGGTGACAAAGGATTCTGCCCTCTTTTAAGAAAAATTTTCAAAAACTGCCACACGGCACTCTACTTCAATTACACTGGCCAGGACTTAGTTACACAGGCATGCCTACCTGCCAGGAATGCAGGGAAATGTAATGTTTAGGTGGTCATAGGCCCATCTAGAAAATTCAACTAGTGGCCAGGAGCAGTGGTGACTCACGCCTGTAATCCCAGCACTTTGGGAGGCCTAGGCTGGTGGATCACCTGAGGTCCGGAGTTCGAGACCAGCCTGGCCAACATGGTAAAACCCCATCTCTACGAAAAATACAAAAATTAGCCAGGCATGGTGGTGGGCACCTGCAATCCCAGCTATGTGGGAGGGTGAGGCAGGAGAATTGCTTGAACTCAGGGGGCAGGAGTTGAGCTGAGATTGCGCCACTGCTCTCCAGCCTGGGTGACGAGAGTGAAACTCACTCTCAAAAAAAAAAAAAAACTCAACTAGTATGGAAGAGCGCTGATACTGGAGCCAATGATGAGTCTTCACCAGCCCCTCCCAGCATCTCTCCTTGCATCTCTCCTTGCCTTGTTCTGGTTACAGGATGCAGATCTCTATAGGGGGCTACTCTTTTTCCTATGGATATAGCCTTGGTGGTGCCATCAGCCAAGAGGCCCTGAAAAAGCTAGGGGATGGTCCACATTAGACCAATCAGATTATCTTGCATGGCCTTAAATTGCCAGCAAGTGATCCAAGATGGAAAATGACCGGGGTGACTTTGCTCCTGAAACTGGAGCCCTGAAAACACCGTCCATTCTCTCCTACTCACTGGATCCTTGGACAACTCTCTTTCCCGAGCTTTCCAAAGCCTGGTGCTGCAATGTATCTTTAATTCTGTGAGTCATCCCACATACTTCTAGTGAATTCCTCCTTTTTTTGCTTAAGTTACCCGAAGTTCATTTATGTTGCTTGCAACTCACAATCCCTAACTGATTCTCCTCTGTTATGTCACTAATCATGTACAATTTACACACCTGTGTCTTTTTCATATAACTTTTTACTTGCATAGAATTGTTGTACTTATTTTGGGGGTATATATGATGTTCTGATACCTGCATACAATGTATAATGATCAAAGCAGGATAATGGGATATCCATCACCTCGAACGTTCACACTTGTGTCTTTAACGAGATTAAACTCTTCAAAGTAGAAAGCACATTTGCTCATCTCTGTGCATCTGCCCCAAAGATCGACACTCTCCCATTAGGGACTCTGTAAATGTTTGTAGAAAAAACGAATGAGAGATTCTATGTGATTCTAAGGACATGTTATGTGAACTTACAAAAGCCATCCAACTTCTTTGCCTCACTGTCCCCAGTAAAATCCCCATTAGTAAGTGTTAAACAGTGAGGGTGAGGGGAACGGCTCGTGTATTCCTGACTTCTCCCTTCACTCTCAGAACTTCCAGAACAGAAGGCACAGAATGAGTTCCACTGGAGAGCAGAACCTGCTGTCAAATTTATAAATACTGGCTGGGCGCGGTGACTTATGCCTGTAATCCCAGCACTTTGGGAGGCTGAGACAGGAGGAACAAAAGGTCAGGAGATCGAGACCATCCTGGCCAACAAGGTGAAACCCCGTCTGTACTAAAAATACAAAAATTGGTCGGGCAAGGTGGTGCACACCTGTAGTCCCAGCTGCTCTTATGGCTGAGGCAGGAGAATCGCTTGAACCCGGGAGGCAGAGGTTGCAGTGAGCCGAGACTGGACCACTGCATGCCAGCCTGGGCAACAAGAGCAAAACTCCAGCTCAAAAAACAAAAACAAAAACAAAACAAAACAAAACAAAAAGTTGTAACTACCATTGATTTTATGATCATTGCTGAAGAAAGTTTTTCTAAAATTTACCTACTGAAACGATGTCAAATTCACACCCTCCCAATTTTTCAGTTTCTTTATTTATCTCCCTCACTGAACTCAGATGCGTCAGATGTATCTCAAATGACTGATCACCGCCTGGTGTCCAGGAACCGTGAGACCACTTTCTTTCTCAGCTCCTGTTCCAACTCATGGGACAACCATGCTAACACTATGTGATTCTCAGTCCCTGATGTTAGCTAATTTGGAGCAAGAGGATGCCTAATCCATTGCACATCAATCAAATTCTCTCTCACAAGCAGTTGTAATTGCCCTTGAGAAATGCTGGTGTGAATCCCAGATGCTCACAGGAAGAGAGAATGTGTAAATACGAGAGGGATCAGGCTTTTCTGTCTGGCAGCCATTGTGTCAAAAACATAAAGAAAGTCAATCTGTAGAGAAAAGGGACTGCAGAGGATGCATAGAGGGAAGCCGAAAGAGAAAACCCCATGGTCTTAGGGAGAGAAAACCAAGAGAAGCCCATCCTTTCTGACAGCGGTGCAAATGCCAAATCTTTTGCCTTTGAGTTAGTTCTGCGACATACCTGAATCCATGTACTAAATACTCTTTGATTTTCCTGAGCCACTCTGACATGGGGACGTACAACCAAAAGCCTAACAAAGACAGCTGCCCTAGGTCAGGCTTCATCTTCTTTCCAGAAGACTCTTGCTAGGCTGGCTTCCTCACTGACCTCCCTGCCTCCTGGCTCCACCGCCAATCCACCTCTCACATGGGTTTCCAGGCAAACCTCACCGTGTTAGTGCCCCTGTGTGCAGAAAAGAGTTGGCGTTACCATTCTTGTTTTGTTTTGTTTTGTTTTGTTTGTTTGTTTTTGAGGCAGAGTCTCGCTCCTGTTGCCCAAGCTGCAGTACAGTGGCACCATCTCTGCTCACTGAAACCTCTGCCTCCCAGGTTCAAGTGATTCTCCTGCCTCAGCCTCCCAGATAGCTGGGACTACAGGCGTCCACCACCAAGCCTGGCTAATTTTTTATATTTTAGTAGAGCTGTTGTTTCACCGTGTTGCCCAGGCTGGTCTCGAACTCCTGAGCTCAGGCAATCCCCTCACCTCAGCCTCCCAAAGTGCTAGGATTACAGGCGTGGGGCTCTGGCATTCTAAAAAGGCCTGTTGCAAGCTCGCCCTTGGCTGGTGTCTGGGAACGTAGGTGACAGAAGGGTCCCCATCCTAACTGATGTGAGCGGCTTACTCTGCCTAAAATGTTTGTGCAAACAGCGTGGTTTAAGCTAAACACCTGCTTTGCCTTTGGGAGTCTGGAAATTTAGTAAGCATTAGACCAAGGGTATCTATGTGACCATCCCCCCAATAAAATCTCTGGGCACGGAGTCTCCAATGAGCTCCTCTGAGAGACAACATTTCACACTGTTGCCCCGACCTGTGGCTCAGGCGATTGAGCACCACATGTGCGGCTTCTCTGGGAGAGGACCCTTGGAAGCTTGTGCCTGGTCTTCCCCAGACTTCACCCAGGAGCCTTTTCCCTTTGCTGGCCTTACTCTGTATTGTTTTGCTGTGATGAATCGTAGCCATGAGTGTGACTGCATGCTGAGTCCCACGAGCACTCTTGGCCAATCATTGCACAAGGAGGTGGTCCCGGGGACTCCAGACACACCCTACTCGAAACACAAGTATCCTTCCAGGATAAAGCCCACATCTTCGTTTGACACCAGGACCACTGTAAGCCAGCTCTAATTGACATCTCAACCTCATCTCTCCTGTTCCCAACCTACCACCTTATGTTCCAATTACACCCCTGCCTCTATTACTTACCACTGTAGGCACCTGTCTTTCATTCGCCTGGGCCCATCTCAGGAAGCCCTCCTGGAGGATCCCTTCTATCAGAACCCAGATGTTCCTGCCTCATGCTCTATCCCACTTCCTAACACAGATCCTGGAGTCCTAGAAGTTTCACCACACCCATATCCCAATCAAGGGTGATTCCTGGAAGTCAGGGGCGCAGCCCATCTATGATTTGCATCCGCAGGGACAGGCCAGGCCCCAGCACACAGTAGGTGCTCAATAGAGGTACTGCAAGCTTTAGCCTCCCTATACAGATGTCTCTCTCCTCTGAAATCAGGAAATCAACACCCCTGAGACTTGAGACTTGTGGCCTTGTGCACCTATGATCCTTTTGATAAAGACACTTGAGTGCCCCCTTCAGCAGCACATAGACTAAAATTGGAATAATACTGAGAAGATTAGCCTGGCCCCTGCTCAAGAATGACACAAAAGTTTGTGAAACATTCCACATTTTTTTTTTTGAGACAGAGTCTCGCTCTGTCGCCCAGGCTGGTGTGCAGTGGCGCCATCTCGGCTCACTGCGAGCTCCGCCTCCCGGGTTCACGCCATTCTCCTGCCTCAGCCTCTGGTGTAGCTGGGACTACAGGTGCCCGCCACCATGCCCGGCTAATTTTTTGTATTTTTAGTAGAGACGGGGTTTCACCATGTTAGTCAGGATGGTCTCGATCTCATGACCTCATGATCCGCCCACCTCGGCCTCCCAAAGTGCTGGGATTATAGGCATGAGCCACCGTGCCTGGCCGCATTCCACATTTTTTTAAACTACCATGCTTTAGTCATTATACAGTGCATACATTGAAACATCACACCGTACCCCACAAACATGTATAACTATTATGTGTCAATAATAAACAACAAAAGAGGTACACAAATCCCCTGACTCGGTCTAGATTCCAATTTAGACTCAGCATATATGATGGAGAACCTGGAAGTGGGGGCTATGCACTGAGATTCCCTGATCTCCACATTACATGACACTGTCAGAGAAGTAAAGCGACCTAACCGAGGTTGCCCAGCTGGTGAGTGGCAGAGCTGGGACTCAACTCCAGAGGAGTCAGGTCCAGAAGTCCACCCTGTGAACACTGTCCTCGAATCATTGCTCAGTGTGTGCAGACCTGGCCTGGGGAGCCGTCCCCTGAGCTCCGGGGCCGCCCTGGGTCACTGTCCTCATCAGTGACCTCCCCGAGGGCCAGGACTCCAACGCTCCTCTTACCCTGCTCCCAGCTCAGGGCAGTGCAAACTGGTGATACCATGTTGACCCCCGAAGCTGACACTAATTCTCTCCTCCCATGTGAGCCTGCTCCAGAGAGGTCTGAAGGTTCTATTCTCCCAGGAGGAGCTCCAACTGCCTCCCAGCTTTAAGGAAATTCACATAAATTGAATCCACATGGAAAAGAGGCATTTTAGCCTGTCCTTCGCTGCAGCCTGAGAGCCAGCTTCAGGGTCCTGCACCCCAGAAAGCTCCAGGTTTCCTTTGGCTGAATCCTTTTGACATTTTCAATGGTAAAATAAATTTGATTTGCAGAAGCCATGAAGGAACTGAGGCGATGTGATTTCCAAAATGCACTGTGTTATTGGATATGATAAAAGACTGAATGAGTCAGTAAATGTAGCAGTTTAGTAACTGTTTAAAAAAACAAAAAAAAAGGGGGCCAGGTGCTGTGGCTCATACCTGTAATCCCAGCGCTTTGGGAGGCTGAGGTGGAGTTTGAGAGGTCAGGAGTTTGAGACCAGCCTGACCAGTGTGGTGAAACCCCATCTCTACTAAAAATACAAAAATTAGCCAGGCGTGGTGGTGCACACCTGTAATCCCAACTACTCAGGAGGCTGAGGCAGAATTGCTTGAACCCAGGGGGCAGAGGTTGCGGTGAGCCGAGATCGCGCCATTGCACTCCAGCCTGGGTGACAGAGCAAGACTCCGTCCCAAAAAAACAAAAAAAAAAACAACAAGACCCACGTGGTCTGGTGGAGGAGGAGGAGGAGGAGGAGGAGGAGGAAGAGGAGGAGGAGGTTGTGGTAGATGGAGAAGGAAAGATTCATGCCTGAACTCACTGCCCACACCCAGAACGAATCCCCAGCCCCACTCACTCCCTCACAGACACAGACAGACACACGGATTCACACCCCGCACTCCTGCATACATAAACAGGCACAGATACAGAGGCAGAAGTTCACAGCCACGTGC
Organism: Homo sapiens; assembly: GCF_000001405.40. Taxonomy (NCBI): domain Eukaryota; kingdom Metazoa; phylum Chordata; class Mammalia; order Primates; family Hominidae; genus Homo; species Homo sapiens. Next base: position 6,209,000 of record NC_000017.11, read on the forward strand.
ACATAAACATAGGTGCATGCGCCAGGCATGTCCACGAAAAATCGTCATAGCCGGTGCCAATCATTGGGCAGTGAAAATGTGCCAGCTACTGCGATGAGGACTTTGCATCCTTTTGTCTCAGCTACTAACTTACTCGTTTGCACAACTGTCTGAGATAAGCAAGTTATTATTCCCATTTTACAGAAACTGAGGCACCAAGATCTTAAGTAACTTACCCAAAGAGATCCCAGCTAGGAAGTAGGGAAGCCAAGGTGAGAACCCAGACAGATTTCAGAAGCTTTGTTCTCTTTTTTTTTTATTTTCCTTTTCTTTTTAGTTTCATTGAAATATAATGGACGGATCCTCCACTTCACAGCTGTATAGTTTGATGAGTTGTGATGTGTGTGCATACTCATAGACTCATCACTACAATCAAGATAATGAACACATCTATCACCCGCAAAAGTTTTCTTGTGCCCTTGGTAATCTCTCGCTTATGTCCCCATCCTTGAGCAGCCACTCTTCTGCTGTCTGTCACTGTAGATTGGTTTTCATTATCTAGAATTTTCTAGAATGGGTCCTGCAGTGTGTCCTCTCTAATGCCTACAGAAGCAATGCTCACTATGACCACACTGTGGGCATCCTCACACATGCATGCACAATGTCCGCAAGTCCTCACCAGCACGCACCCCCAGCACCACATTCCCCCCTCATCATCCCCCCTTACACCCATTCCCAACCCCCTAGGCGTAAAGCGCTCATATGCCCCCCACCCCCACCCCTCACTGTATCTTTCAATCCATGCTGCTCCTCGGGAATAATTTTGCTCCATTCATCAGCAAAATAAACTCCTCACTGTTTCCCAGCAAAGCAGTGCAGCTCCTTTCTCCTAAGTCCACATGACAGGTGACTGCAGACCCACCGTCCTCAGCACGTGAGCCCTTTGTAGGCTCTGGTTCAATTCTCAAAAGCTTTGCTCATTCGACAACTATGAAGATGCCCATTCCCCTAGGCACTATATATTCAGCAATGACCAAGAAGTCACAGTCCCCTCTGGCTATGGAGCTGAATCACCTCCCCAGCCAGCATAACCGGCCTTGTGCTATGGGGCTGGCCAGAAGGGGAAACCCTCCGGCACTACCAGGCTGGCTGAAGAACCAAGTCACAGGTTCACAATTAAGAAAGAGAATAGGAAGATGGCATGGAAAGGAGGGGTGAGGGGAAGAGGAAGAGAGAAGGACCCCAAACCAAGCTCAGACCGGTGTGGCTGGCCAGGAGAGGAGGAGTCTTCCTTCAAAGGTGGACGCTGAAAGACAGCCACAAGACACTGTATGGAGACAGTGGGACAGGGCAGGGCTGAGCAGAGCTCCATTGCTAGGAGCATGGGCCATGGCTCGTGGCTGACCACCAGCCTTTATGGGACAGGAGAGGGGGCTTGCACGCCCTGCATCAAAGCCAGTTACTGCAGGGGGCTGGTGTCCAGCTCATACCTCAGGTCTAACTCACCCCTAAGCTGTCAATCTGGATACACACTGGAATCATTCTAGGAGTTTAAAATAATATTGAGCCCTGGGTTCCACTCCCAGATTATCTGATTTAATTGTTTGAGGGAGGGGTATGTGTCCTCGGCATATGCATTTTTAAAAGCTCCCCAGGTGATTATCTAATATGCAGTCCAGTTTGAGAACCTCTGTAATTCTTCATTCGCCTCCAGTCTTAGGATAGGTACCTCCCAAAAGCACCGCAGGATACAAGAAAGCAACACCACTAGAAGGAACGCCTCCAATCCCATCTCCCTGCAAATACCCTAATGGGAATTTAACAAGATGACCTATGTTGATTAGATATCAATTAATTGTGAGAAGAGGACTGAAGATTTCATAAGCAATCAATCTCACTGTCATGTAATTAACTGAAATTGGTATAAGTAGTAAGTAAATGCTCAGTGATAATGACTTTCTTATCAATATCAGATATTTAAAACCTTTCAGGTTTTACTGGTAATTCAATGTCAAGATAATTAGGTATCAGTCAGGCACATTAAATATTGTTTACATTGGCCATTGTTCTTTAAATCTGTGGTAAGACAGTTATGGGGTCCCCAGCCAATGGCTCTTGCTTATTTGGGATGACATGTCTAATACATTGACAAGTATTAGATAAGATAACATCTGAATAATGAACTACCATGGAAAGTAGAGAATGCTGAGTTTATTTCAGCGTCACACGCTGGTACCAGAAGCAGACGTCTAGTCTAATATGTTATCTCAGCTAAGCTGAGCTATTGAAGAACTACTGCAAAATCCCTTCCCCTTAATTACATTTTACTGTTAATTAATCAAATTACTTTATCATTACCTTGATGCCAACTCCTATGAACCAGATTACTTCAATCATGTCGAACCTCTACTTCCTTGTAGATGTTTTTGATGTATGGAAATCACGATGGGGCTAGAAGCACTCATGACTCCCGCATGAAGAAAAAAAACTATTGCTTCCGACCATCAAGCTTTACAGACATGGACCTGAATCATCTTAAGTGTCCCGAGGAAGGCAGAGGAGGCAAGGCATGAGTGTGCTGAGAAGAGACTTTACGGGAGTAAAAGATGCAGGCGGTAGAGTGGCTTTGATTAATAGATGGTATCATTCCGTTGAAAACAAGTCCATCTGGTATATTTTAAAAATTGTTAGAGGTGTTCCAGTGGGTTATATCCCCAAAAGGCCACATCATAAAGGTGCAATAGGCTCCACATCAGTGCCGGCCCTGGGTAGAATGCTGTTCTTGCTCTCATGAAGTAAGGGGGAAGGAAGAGGGTGCTGGTCAAGAATGTGGGCTTCAGAGTGGAAGCCTTGAACAAACTGCTTAAAGTCTCTAGGCCTTGATTTATGTATCTGTAAAATGGGGATAATGATAATATCCACCTTACAGGGCTATGGTGGGGACGACATGACATCATTCCTTGAACTCCCCAGCTCTATGTACATAGCAAAAGTTCAGTAAATGATGATTATTACTATGCTTCATTTTGCTTTCATTGTATCATTGTCTTGATCCCATTCAGTGCCTTTGGGCCGCAGTCTCACTTTGATATTAGTATTTTCACTCCCTCTTCTATGGTTGTGGTTAGGGCTGAGGCACTTTTCCTGACATCCTTTTGCCCAGACCTTTATTTTTTACCTTTCTTAATCATTTCTTTCTAGATGAGATGCTGGTAAACAGGATAGAGCCAAGCTTTCTTTCTTGACTCAGTCTGGAGTTTCTGCCTTTTATTCAGGGGGTTCAGTCAATTTCCTCTCATGGGAATAATTGGCACACTTGTTTTATTTCTGCCCTCTTAAGTTATGGCTACTGTTTATTTTACTTTGTTATTGTTTTATTTTTCCTTTTCCTTCATTTATCTGGCTTTGTTAAGTGACTATGCATTCCTATCCTCTCCACTCCATGATTTTGAAAATTCCCTCTGGCTTCCCAGCTATTAGCGATGACCATTCTCATCTTTATATACACGAAGCACCCTGTATTCTTCTCGTTATGTTAAACAGCCCTGTCCTAGCACAGAAGTCCTCTCCTAGCCCTTCATTGAGGTCTACGGAATCTCTCTTCTTCACTATCTGTCTCTGTCTCCCTGATTTTTCTCTTTGTATTTGGGCCCTAGGTTTTGAGATACTTCTACTCCTGATCTTCTGTCATTATTTTAATTCTCCATAGAGACAATTCTCTAATTAATATATTCATTTATTATGTCCAAACTTCAAGATTTAAGAACCACTTCTAAGTTTCAGAAAATCTTTACTTCACTCCCATTGGATCTCTTTAAGAGTTTGTATTTCTTTTTTGTCCAAGCTGTCTCCTGGATCTTGCCCAGATCTATTTCAGACACAGACACCTGTCCCAATTCTTCCACTGGGTCTGCTTCCCTCTGGTTCCTGTCCCCCTCATCTGTGGTTTTTTTCTTTGCCTGCTCATGCTCCCTGTACCCTCAGCGGCCGACTCCAGTTGTCACAGCCCAACCAGAGTGACAGGCACATGGGCTTCTGTTCCTCTGGACTGGCAGTGACTGACCTGGCCGGCCTCTGCTGAGACCCTGGAGGATGCCTCTCTGCTCCCAGGGGAACCATGTCAATGGTAGCGCTCCCCCAAACTCAACACCTGTGAGCAATTCAGCCTCGGGTGGAAAAGAAAAAAAAATGACAAAATGACTGCAGCAAAATTTAAATTTTAAAAATAATTTGCAAATTGGTCATTGGCCAAATTGATTGTATGATGAATTGACTGGTGTAGACATAGTTTTTGGTAAATTTGTTTGCTTCCTCACAAAAGAACTGGCAATCCAGTTTGCAAGGATACTCACCAAGGCCCCTTCCCGCCTTGCTCTGGAGAGGGTGTTGAGAGGCAGTGGGCAAGTGGGAGGTGGGGACAGGCGTTCAGCCACCATCTTCCAGAGTTCTCATTGTGTTGCCACTGGAGTCATCTGCTTCTGCTTTTTTTTTTTTTTTTTTTTTTTTTTTGAGATGAAGTCTCACTCTGTCACCCAGGCTGGAGTACAAAGGCACGATCTTGGCTCACTGCAACCTCCGTCTCCCGGGTTCAAGTGATTCTCCTGCCTCAGCCTCCTGCGTAGCTGGGATTACAGGCGCATGCCACCACACCTGGCTAATTATTTTATTTTCAGTAGAGATGGGGTTTCACCATGTTGGTCAGGCTGGTCTCGAACTCCTGACGTTGTGATCCAGCCTCCTCCCAAAGTGCTAGGATTACAGGCGTGAGCCACCGTGCCCAGTCTTCTTCTGCTTTAAACCAGGTGAATTGTACTTGTGGACTTGAAGGTGCAAGTGAGAGTGTGTGTTGATACTGGTGTCCGTAGCTACAAGCCCTGCAGAGCCAGCTCATAACACAAGTGCCAGCTATTGCTAAGGAGAAGCAAGGCTGACTTGGAGTGTATTTTCCAGAATATGAGTGGCAGCTGTGATGCCCTGCTCTGCCCCGTGAGGTGGGAGCCAGGCTGATGGGCCATGTCCCCAGGAGGCCAGCATGGGGAGGGACTAGAGACATCATACTACAGAAGACTGTGGACTGGGCTTGGGGGCTGAGAGGTAGGAGGGTGGGGGGTAGGAGTCAGAGTGCTCAGCCTAGAGAAGACGCACTAACATGGAGTGATGTCCTAGGAAGAGCGATAGGCTTCTGTGTGGCCCCAAGGGCTGGGACTGAGGCAGTGTGGAGGCTAGGAAGACCATTCTACCATCAGAGCTTACCAGCGATGGACTTGTCTAGGAGGAGGGAGCTCTCCATCATAAAAGGCATGCAAGCCAGACCTGAGAGGTCATTTGATGGAGACAGATTGGGTAATTCCAGAGCTTCTTCCTACCTGGGAGTCTGTAATTCCTAAAATGGCTGAGATGTAATGGTTGGGGGAGCCCTACTTCTCACCACAGGTACTAAGATTCGTGAACCCTGAATGCGCTGAGCAGAGGAATGGGGAAGCTTTGCTATGGAAAAAGTCACAATACCCTTATCTTTCCTCCTAAGAGTCTTACATCCATCTTGAGGGAGTAACCTCTTTCTTTATTTTAGGCAAATTATCGTGATGTGCTTTTTAGTAACATAAATACTCACCAGTTGTTCTTGGAGAGAACTGTGAGATCACCATTGACCAGCATACAAATCTTTTAAATTAAAATTTTTAGGGTTCTCTTTCACCCCTCAAGTTGGGAAATAGTGGCACCCAGTCATGTAGCTCTGAGAGTCTCTTGTCTCCCACCCCCATATGGGAAGATATGGAAGCTATAGAGAAATACTTCCTGCTTCTACGTGAACCGTTGCTGCAAATGGATGCAGATTCCTCATTTTCTTGGGGAAATGGGAGTCCTTTTCTAGGGACTTATTTTTTATTATTATTATTTTTAGATGGATCCTTGCTCTGTCATCAGGCTGGAATGCAGTGGCATAATCTTGGCTCACTGCAACCTCCGCCTCCTGAGTTCAAGTGATACTTCTGCCTCAGCCTCCCAAGTAGCTGGAACTACAGGTGCATGCCACCACGCCTGGATAATTTTTTTGTATTTTAGTAGAGATGGGGTTTCACCATGTTGGCCAGGGTGGACTCAATCTCCCGACCTTGTGATCCGCCTGTCTCTGCCTCCCAGAGTGCTGGGATTACAGGCATGAGCCACAGCGCCTGGCTGGGACTTTTTATGGGAGAGGAAAATCTGACCTCAGAGGGAACACGCTACTGTTACCTGCTCCACCTGCCCGCTGACCCTTCATTGATTCCTACAAGAAGAGCCTAGTGGTCTCTGGATAGCTAGATGTTTATTTCCAAGAATGGGCTAGGTCTGACACAAGAGCAACTGATAACTCTGTCCAGGCCCATTGAGTCCAAGGGTGTTCCAGACGTCACACTAGGCATGGAGGAAACACAGAAGCAGCATAAGTGATTGACGAGTAAAAGGAGATAAGGGTTTTGACAAAGGTGACCTGGGTTCACTGTTGGCCTATAGAGAGCAGAGGAGGTGAGGCCTAGGGGAACAGTGTGGATGCTGCCTCCTCCATGCCCCACTTGCGAGGCCCACTCATCAGGCAACTAAGCACATGGGAGCAAGGATCTCTATGTCACTGTCTTGCATCAGATGCTGAGCTGCTCAAGAATGGGATCCTCTCTGGTTTCTCTGCTCATTCCTCTTCACAGGGAAGGGTCAGTCACATTCAAGGTATGCCATGAGCAGAAAGTGATGGGAGAGAGTGGAGAAGTGGCAGTAGCTCCATCAAGGAGGTCTTGCAATTCTAGCTAAGGAGCTGGACTTCGAGCAGCAGGTGGCACGGCCAGGGGAGCAGGGAGCGGAACTGAGGGCATGGTGGGAGTTAGCTATGAAGCAGTGAGCTCTGCTGCATCCATGGCCTTGGTGGGCCATCTTGGAAGGGACCAGCAGGACAGTGGCTGCTCCAGACCCATCCCACCCAAAAATGTCCCCTAGAGCAGGAGAGAGACCTGTGGGAGAAGCAAGCCGATATAAATCAGAGCTAACCTGTGCTGATCCCCGGCTCCCTAAATCAAGAATCTGACAGGTTTTCTGGGCGAGAATCAATCTTACTGTCCCCACAGTAAATACCATAATCCTTTTTCCAGTGTGGTTTAGAGAATGTAACTGCCATGCTCATGATTTATTCGAAAAATATTCTGCCAGGTTATGTGAACGAATGGGGGAGTCCACGTGCTTTTAAACAGGAGTTCAGGGAGCTCTCAATGGGACTGGCACCTCCCTCTTGGGGCAGCTCCAGCAGGCTGCCAGCTTCCACACCTGCCCCATGTGGTGGGCCACCAGAACCAAGGACACGGGAACTGAGGGCGGGCAGCAGGACACCAGAATGACCACTCTTTAGCTGGGAGGGCAGAGCAAAGGCAGCCAGCCAGCCAGTAGGTGGCCAGGCCTCTCAGGGCTCCTTTCTATGAAAACCATGACTGGACTTCTCTTTTCTATATTTTTTGTAATTTATTTGTTACGTAGCTAATATGAGAATGCATTCTTGGCCGGGCGCAGTGACTCACGCCTGTAATCCCAGCACTTTGAGAGGCCGAGGTGGGTAGATCATCTGAGGTCTGGAGTTCAAGATCAGCCTGACCAACATGGAGAAAACCTGTCTGTATTAAAAATACAAAAATTAGCTGGACTTGGTGGCAGGTGCCTGTAATTCCAGCTACTCGGGAGGCTGAGGCAGGAGAATCACTTGAACCCAGGAGGTGGAGGTTGCAGTGAGCCGAGATCGCACCACTGCACTGCAGCCTGGGCGACAGAGCGAGACTGTTTAAAAAATAAAAGAAAAGAAAAAGAAAAAAAAAGAATGCATTCTTGTTATGCCTAATTCAAATAATTCAGAAGTTTTCAGAGAAAAATGTGAATCTCCCTTCTATACCCTCCCATGACTCAACTCACTGCGTTCCTGTTTCTTCTTTCAGAGACGGCACTGGCAAACGCTTAGTTACCACCATCCTATATTCATAAACATGTATACCCTTTTCGCACAAATAGGTTCTTTTTTTTTTTTGAGACAAAGTCTCGCTCTGTCACCCAGGCTGGAGTGCAATGGTGCAATCTTGGCTCACTACAACCTCCGCCTCCCAGGTTCAAGCAATTCTCCTGCCTCAGCCTCCCGAGTAGCTGAGACTACAGATGTGTGCCACCATGTCCGGCTAATTTTCTGTATTTTTAGTATCGACGGGGTTTTCACTATGTTGGTCAGGTTGGTCTCGAACTCCTGACCTTGTGAAGGTTCTTTTTTTATGATATGTAGTTTATAGTTACAGTTTATGTATTTATATGGTATTTTTATATAGTGTTTATATATGCATGCATACATAAATATATAGACCCACACATATACAGTATGTATGGGTTTATACTGCTTCCAGTTGTTTTTAACCTTTGTAAACAAAATCATGATGCATTTCTTTATAACTAAATGCATCTTGGCACATATGTATGAGTTTTCTTTTAATATAGATTCTGAATGAGACATGGCTGGTGGGAGTTCTGACAAATTCTACCAAATTGCCCTCCAAGCATAATATGCCAATGGGATATAAGTGTCTGTTTCCCTATATTACTAGGAACGCTTTCATTTAATTTTTGCCAAGTTGATGGGCATAAGCCCCTCATTGTTGATTTACCCATAACTGGTTCCTAAGAACGTGGAACACACCTCCCTGCATTTAGGGGTTTGGTGCGTCTTTTTTTCTAGGTATTGTCTAATCATTCCTTTGCCCAGCTTTCTATTAAGTTCTTTGTCTTTTTTTCTTATGGAATTTAGGGATTTTCATCTTCGTCTTTCAAACATGTTGCAAATACTTCTTTTCACTTTGCTTTGCTGTTAACTTTGTGGTGTCTTTCTTGTTTAGAAATTTTAAATTTTTAAAGAATTCGGATTTGATTGTCTTTTCATTTATGGCTTCCAGATTTTGTGATTTGCATGGGAAGGCTTTCCTTTCCCAGAATTATAGTCTCATTTTTTTCCCCTCTATTTTCTTCTAATGTTTTTGCATTTCTGTATCTCACATTCACTCACGGTTAGCCTCCAGCATCTCTGCTTTCTCTGTTACTTTTCTCTTCTGAAACTACACTTCCCCCCAGGTAATCGTAGTCATGCTGTGACTTTAATCAGCACTTTTAGGCTCATAATTCCCTCATGTGTATCTCTGATCTTGCTTTCCTCTGGGCTCCTGACTTGCATATCTGCCTATCTACATGATATCACAAAAGTACCGCAGACTCTACAAACCCAAAACTGAACTCATGATCTTTCTCTCTAAACTTTGACTTCTTTTCTATCCTAGTGGATGGCTCAGAAACTTGAGCCTCACTCTTTGCAGTGCCCTGTCCTTCATACTCCATGTTGATGTCCCGCCAAGACTTTGGCCGGGACCTGGTCAGTTGCACCTACCAAATTCTCTGCCACTGTTCTGTCTCTCCACCCTCACAACCCCAGCCTAAGCTGCCTTCATGTCTGGCCAGGTTTCTGCATTAGCCTGCTAACCCGTCTCTTCAGCTTCACTCTCACCTGCTCTAACCTTTCTCCACAAAGCAGTCTTCAAGATACAAATGTGATCATGCAACCCTCTTCGTCTCAAAACCATTCAGAGGACGAACAAAATCTTTCTTGTGGCCAACAGGACTTTGCGTGACCTGGGCCCTGCCTGCTTCCCCGGTCTCAGTCTCAGTCTCTGTGCACCAGCCATGCTGTCTTGTTCTGTTTCTCCAGCCAGAGGTCCTTTCCACATGCCTCTCCCTCTACACCTCTACACGTTATATCTTCTCCCTTTTATTTTTTTTTTCTTAGACAAAGTTTCGCTCTTGTTGCCCAGGCTGGAGTGCAATGGCATGATCTCGGTTCACTGCAATCTCTGCCTCCCATGTTCAAGCGATTCTCCTGCCTCAGCCTCTAAAGTAGCTGGGATTACAGGCGCCCACCACCACACCTGGCTAATTTTTGTATTTTTTAGTAGAGACGGGGTTTCACCATGTTGGCCAGGCTGATCTTGAACTCCTGACTTCAGGTGATCCTACCGCCTTGGCCTCCTAAAGTGCTGGAATTATAGGCATGAGCCACCACGCCTGGCCTATATTTTCTCCTTTTCCATACCCCACATCTATTCCTCACTTGAATCCTATTCCTCCTTGCTCTCTCAGCTCAAATGACATTCTTATGATCCCATAGATTAGGCCAGGCCCTCATGCTCTATTTTCTCATAGCGTTATGAAGCTTTTTCTCATAACACTCATCCCAGCTTATGTTTATGTATTTAAGCATGTGATGCATGTCTGCCAAGACAAGGCCAAGAATGCTCCCTCTTCTGAGTTGCAATAAAAAGCGAGGACTTGGCCGGGTGCAGTGGCTCACGCCTATAATCCCAGCACTTTGGGAGGCTGAGGCAGGCAGATCACGAGGTCAGTAGATCGAGACCATCTTGGCCAACATGTGAAATCCCATCTCTACTGAAATAGAAAAAATTAGCCGGGCGCGGTGGCTCACGCCTGTAATCCCAGCATTTTGGGAGGCCGAGGCGGGTGGACCATGAGGTCAGGAGATCGAGACCAACTTGGCCAACATGGTGATACCCCATCTCTACTAAAATACAAAAAATTAGCTGGGTGTGGTGGCAGGTACCTGTAATCCCAGCTACTTGGGAGGCTGAGGCAGGGGAATCGCTTGAACCTGGGAGGTGGAGGTTGCAATGAGCTGAGATTGCACCACTGCACTCCAGCCTGGCAACAGAGCAAGATTCCGTCCAAAAAAAAAAAAAAAAGCGAGGACTTGTTTCTCTTCGCCAAGACCCCAGTGAAGCTCTGTTCTTGTCTTGCGGGAGAGAGTGAGGAGAAGTACAAGGCATGGGAGGAGACAAGAATATTGTTTCTTTAGGGAAAGGTTGGAATGGGACGATGATGTATTGGGATGCAGCTCACCTCCCATCCTCTGACAAAATCAGCCAAGGAAATTGTGAGTGTGTAGTTGTCCGAGTGGATAAGGGAGAAAGAATCCATGAGTGGTCCTGGCAGTTTGTACTTAAACATCAGACAGAGCCTTCATGGCACATAAGCTGGACTAAGCTCAGATGTATGCTTACAATAATGTCCCCAACCTAACAGTAAGTGTGCGGCCTGGTTGGGCGCAGTGGCTCACACCTGTAATCCCAGCACTTTGGGAGGCCGAGGTGGGCGGATCACCTGAGGTCAGGAGTTCGAGACCAGCCTAGCCAACATGGTAAAACCCTGTCTCTACTAAAAATACAAAAATTAGCCAGGCATGGTGGCAGGCACCTGTAATCCCAGCTACTTGGGAGGCTGGGGCAGGAAAATCGCCTGAACCTGGGAGGCAGAGTTTGCAGTGTGCTGAGATCACACCATTGCACTACAGCCTGGGCAACAAGAGTGAAACTCCATCTCAAAAAATAAAAATAAATAATAAAAGTGTGCGACCTAACAACTACAGAATACACAGTTTTTCAAGTGCATATGGAATACTCTGGGCCATAACAAATGTCTCTACAAATTTTTAAAGATTCTAGTTATACAAAGTATGTTTTCTGACCACAATAGAATCAATTTGAAATCAATAATAGAGCAGTATTGGGAAAGTCCCTAAATACTTGTGGACTAAATAACACAGTTCTAAATAATGATGGGTCAAAGAAGGAATCAAAAAGGAAATTAAAAAGCATTTCCAGCTAAATAAAAACACAGCATATCAAAACGTGTTGGGTGCTGCCAAAGTAGTACTTGGAGGTAAACGTGTAACACTAAACACCTGCATTAGAAAAGATGGAAAGTTTCAAGTCATTCAGATCAATGATCTCAGCCTCCACCTTAAAAAACTAGAAAAAGAAGGGCCAATTAAATCCAAAGTAAGCAAAACAAAGTAATAAAAAAGATCAGAGCAAAAGCCAGTGGGATTAGAAGCAGAGCAACAATAGAGAAAATTAGTAAAACCAAAAGCCAGTTCCTTAAGAAGATGCATTCTAGATAGACTGATCAGGAAAAAAAGAGTGAAGACAAAAATTACCAATAGAGGTAGCATTCATCAATTCTACAGATATTAAAAAGATAATGGGAAAATATCATGAATGACTATATTCCAATAAATTTGACATCTTAGATGAAACGTATAACTTCTTGGAAAAATCTAAAGTACAAATTATCAGTTGAGAAGTACTAGGTCATTTGAAGAGCCCAAAATCTATTAAAGAAATTGAATTATTTGTTTGTTTTTAAATAAAAAGTCTTCTCACAAAGAAAACTCCAGGCCCAAATGACTTCATTTGTAAATTCTACCAAACACTTAAGGGAGAAATAATATGAATTCAACTGAAACTCTCAGAAAATTTAAAAGATTATTCTTAACTTATTTTATTAGGCCAGCATTACCCTGATACCAAAAACAGATACAGACATTAAAGAAAAGAAAACTACAAATCAATATTTTTATGAATATAGATTCCAAAATTTCTTATAAAATTTTAGCAAATTTAATCCAACAATATATTAAAAGAATAATATATGATAACCAAGTAAAATTTATCCAAGCATGCAAAATGGTTAAGCATTTTTTTTAAAAAAACAATTATTTATCATGACAACAAACACTTAAAAAGTAAAACTCTACGATCATTTCAATAGAGGCAGAAAAAGCATTTGACAAAATCCAACATCAATTCCTGATTTAAAAAAAAAAAAAAACCCTAGGAATAGAAGAATATTTCCTCAATCCAATAAAGGAACGAGGCAAAGATGACTGCTTTCACCATTTTTAGTAAACATTCCACTGAAGGTTCTAATCAGTGAAGTAAGTCAAGAAAAAGATAAAAGGCATCCAGAGTGGAAAGGAAGAATTGAAATTGTCTTTATTTGCACACGACATTATTGTCTGTGGAAAAACGTTTTATGAAAATCTACCGAAAAAAGCAGGATAACTAAAAAGCGACTTTAGCAAGGTTGTAGGATATAGTCAAAATTCAGAAATCAACTCTATTTCTATATACTAGCAACAATCAGAAAGAGAAACTAAGAAATAATATTACAATAGCATCAAAACATGAAATAAATAGAGATAAATCTGACAAAAGACATACAAGACGTGTACACTGAAAACTGTAAAACATTCATGAGAAACATTAAAGATGACCTAAATAAAAGGAGAGATATATTGTGTTCATAGACAAAAAGACTCAATACTGTTAAGACGTTAATTCTCCCCAAAATGAACTTTAAATTCAATACAATCCCAGTTAAAATTCCAGCAAGCTTTTTAAAAGAGAAGCTACCAAAATGAATCAGAAATTCATATGAAAATGCAAAAGACGTGGGGGGGTCAAAACAACTTTGAAAATGAAGAACAAAGTTGGAGGGCTAATATTTTCTAATTTCAAGAGTTATTATAAAGCTACAGCCATCAACACACTATGGTGTTACAAACAGATCAACAGAACAGAATACAGAATCCAAAAATAAGTGAACACACATACGGATAATTGAATTTTGACAAACGTGCAAAAGCAATTCAATGGATAAAGGATAGTCTTTTTAACAAGCAGTGCTAGAACAATTGGATGTACATGTGCAAAAAAATGAACTTTGATGTTTCTCTTGCACCATATTATGAATGTTTGTGTTCCTTAAAATTTATATTTTGAAGCCTTAATCCCCAATGTGATGGTATTTGGAGATGAAGTCTTTAGGAAGTGATTAGGTTAAGATGAGATCGTGAGGATGGGGCCCCCATAATAAGATTAGTGCCCTTATCAGCTGAAAGAGGAAGAGACCAGAGCTCACTCTCTCTCTTTGCTATGTGAATATACAACAAGAAGGCTTCCGCTGACAGTGGAAGACAGCTTTAGCAGGAACTAGTGGGAGCAATAGCAGGACCAAATAAACCAAACCGACCAAAATAACACCACAGAAGTTCTGAAAGTTAAACCATCACTGGAACTGTATCCCACAAAAAGTAAGTTAGGACCCAGTGTGTGATGTCCCCCTTCCTGTGTCCAAATGTTCTCATTGTTCAGTTCCCACCTATGAGTAAGAACATGCGGTGTTTGTTTTTTTGTCCTTGCAATAGTTTGCTGAGTTGGGGGGAGGGGGGAGGGATAGCATTAGGAGATATACCTAATGTAAATGACGAGTTAGTGGGCGCAGGACACCAACATGGCACATGTATACATATGTAACAAACCTGCACATTGTGCACATGTACCCTAGAACTTAAAGTAAAAAAAAAAAAAAAAAAAAAAAATATATATATATATATATATATATATATATATATAGTAAGTTAGGACCAGCATGCTAATCCTAAACAGAGTGGCACCTGTTAAAATAAAAAATTCAAATACCACCCAGTGTCTCCTAACATAAATGATGACATGTGCAGGCTATAACCAAAAATGACTCATCCCACCAAGAACCACAAAAACCACAATTTGAGTAAGAAAAGACAACCAACTGATGCCAACAGTGAGATGAGTCATATGGCAGGATTCTCTGACAAGGATTTTAAAGGAGCCATCACAAAGATCCATCAATGGTAAATTACAAATTCTCTTGAAACAAATGAGAAAACAAAAACAAAAACAAATCTCAGTTTTAAAAGGTTATTTAAGGCCGGGAGCCTTAAATACGACAGAATTGTAACAGGAAAATCTCTAAATAGGTGGAAATTAAAATAATTTAAACTTCTCAATAATCTATAAGACAAAGAAGTCTCAATAGACTAAATGAAAATAAAAATACAACACAACAAAATATGTGGAATGCAGATAAAGCAGCCCTGAGAGGGAATTTAATGGCACTGAATGCTTACACAAGAAATGAGGAAAAACAGCCGGGCGCAGTGGCTCACACCTGGAATCTCAGCACTTTGGGAGGCCGAGACGGGTGGATCACAAGGTGAAGAGATCAAGACCAGCATGGCTAACATGGTGAAACCCTGTCTCTACTAAAAATACAAAAATTAGCTGGGCGTGGTGGTGCCTGCCTGTAATCCCAGCTACTCAGGAGGCTGAGGCAGGAGAATCGCTTGAACCCAGGAGGCAGAGGTTGCAGTGAGCCAAGATCGTGCTACTGCACTCCAGCCTGGCGACAGAGCAGGACTCTGTCAAAAAAAAAAAAAAAAAAAAAAAAAAAGGAAAAACCTCAAATCAATAATATAAGTTGCTACCTCAAGAAACTTGGGGGGAAAAAAAAGAGCAAAATAAACTCAGAGCAGGAATAAGAGAGGAAATAAAGATTACAGCAGAACTCAATGAAATCAAAAACAGGAAAACAATAGAGAAAAATCTGCTTCTTCAAAAACATCAATAAAATTTGCAAATCTTTAGAAAGATTGACAAAAATGAAAGAAAACACAAATCACCAATATCAAGAGTGAAATAGGGGCCAGGTGCGGTGGTGGCTCATGCTTGTAATCCCAGCACTTTGGGAGGCCGAGGTGGGTGGATCACGAGGTTGGGAGTTCAAGACTAGCCTGTCCAACGCAGGGAAACCCAAAAAAAAAAAAAAAAAAAAAAAAAAAACACCAGACTAATATCTCTCATGAATTTGATGCAAAAATTTTCAACAAAGTATTAGCAAGGTCAACCTAAAAATGTATGAAGGTCATTATAAGTTATGACCAAGTGGTATTTATCCCAGGTGTGAAAGGTTGGTTTAACATTTGAAATATCAATCAATAGGCCAGGTGCAGTGGCTCATGCCTGCAATTCCAGTACTTTGGGAGGCCGAGGCAGGCAGTTTGCTTGAGCTCAGGAGTTTGAGACCAGCCTGGGCAACGTGGCAAAACCTCATCTCTACAAAAAATACAAAAAAATTAGCAATGCGTGATGGTGCATGCCTGGAGTCCCAGCTACTTGGGAGGCTGAGGTGGGAGGTTGCTTGAGCCTGGGAGGTGGAGGTTGCAATGAGCCATGCACTCCAGTGTAGGCAACAGAGGGAGATCCTGTCTTAAAAGAAAAATGAATAAATAAATAAATAATCAATATAATCTGCCCTATTAACAAGATAAAGAAGAAAAACTGCGTAATCATATCAATTAATTCAGAAAAAGCATTTGAGAAAATCCAACACTCATTCTTAATTTTTTTAAGACCCCAAAAGTTAGGAACTTGATGAAAACCTCTATGAAGAAACCCGATAGCTAACGTAATAATTAATGGTTAAAGACATTATACTTTCTCCCTAAGATACAGGAACAAGAAAAGAATGTCTTTTCTCACCTCTCTGATTTGACATAGCACTAGTTCTAGATACTGCATAAGGCAGGAAAAGAAAAACATACAAAAGACATACAGGTTGCAATGGAAGAGGTAAAACTGCCTCTATTTGCAGATGACATGATTATGTATGTACAAAAGCTCAAGGAAGCAACAAAAATACTCTAGAATCAATAAAGGAGTTCAGCAAGTTTGCAGGATAAAAGATCAAAACACAAAGACCGATTGCATCTTTATATATTAACAATGAGGAGAATCGCTTGAACCCGGGAGGTGGATGTTGCAGTGAGCCAAGATGGCGCCACT
Source organism: Homo sapiens (assembly GCF_000001405.40). Lineage (NCBI taxonomy): Eukaryota > Metazoa > Chordata > Mammalia > Primates > Hominidae > Homo > Homo sapiens. The sequence goes on from NC_000017.11 coordinate 6,225,535, forward strand.
GCACTCCAGCCTGGGTGACAGAGCGAGATTCCGTCTCAAAAAAAAAAAAAAAAAAATTATAACTATTTTATCAATGAAAACAGCCAGCTCCCGCTCCCGCTCCCGCTCCCTCTCCTTCTCCCCACGGTCTCCCTCTCCCCACGGTCTCCCTCTCTTTCCACGGTCTCCCTCTGATGCCGAGCCGAAGCTGGACTGTACTGCTGCCATCTCAACTCACTGCAACCTCCCTGCCTGATTCTCCTGCCTCAGCCTGCCGAGTGCCTGCGATTGCAGGCGCGCGCCACCACACCTGACTGGTTTTCGTATTTTTTTGGTGGAGACGGGGTTTCGCTGTGTTGGCCGGGCTGGTCTCCAGCTCCTAACCGGAGTGATCCACCAGCCTCGGCCTCCCGAGGTGCCAGGATTGCAGACAGAGTCTCGTTCACTCAGTGCTCAATGGTGCCCAGGCTGGAGTGCAGTGGCGTGATCTCGGCTAGCTACAACCTCTACCTCCCAGCCGCCTGCCTTGGCCTCCCAAAGTGCCGAGATTGCAGCCTCTGCCCGGCCGCCACCCCGTCTGGGATATGAGGAGCGTCTCTGCCCAGCCGCCATCCCATCTAGGAAGTGAGGAGCGCCTCTTCCCGGCCACCATCCCATCTAGGAAGTGAGGAGCGTCTCTGCTCAGCCGCCCATCGTCTGAGATGTGGGGAGCGCCTCTGCCCCGCCGCCCCATCTGGGATGTGAGGAGCGCCTCTGCCCGGCCGCGACCCCGTCTGGGAGGTGAGGAGCGTCTCTGCCCGGCCGCCCCATCTGAGAAGTGAGGAGACCCTCTGCCTGGCAACCGCCCCATCTGAGAAGTGAGGAGCCCCTCCGCCTGGCAGCCACCCCGTCTGGGAAGTGAGGAGCGTCTCCGCCCGGCAGCCACCCCGTCCGGGAGGGAGGTGGGGGTCAGCCCCCCGCCCGGCCAGCCGCCCCGTCCGGGAGGTGAGGGGCGCCTCTGCCCGGCCGCCCCTACTGGGAAGTGAGGAGCCCCTCTGCCCGGCCACCACCCCGTCTGGGAGGTGTGCCCAACAGCTCATTGAGAACGGGCCAGGACGACAATGGCGGCTTTGTGGAATAGAAAGGGGGGAAAGGTGGGGAAGAGATTGAGAAATCGGATGGTTGCCGTGTCTGTGTAGAAAGAAGTAGACATGGGAGACTTTTCATTTTGTTCTGTACTAAGAAAAATTCTTCTGCCTTGGGATCCTGTTGATCTGTGACCTTACCCCCAACCCTGTGCTCTCTGAAACATGTGCTGTGTCCACTCAGGGTTAAATGGATTAAGGGCGGTGCAAGATGTGCTTTGTTAAACAGATGCTTGAAGGCAGCATGCTCGTTAAGAGTCATCGCCACTCCCTAATCTCAAGTACCCAGGGACACAAACACTGCGGAGGGCGCAGGGTCCTCTGCCTAGGAAAACCAGAGACCTTTGTTCACTTGTTTATCTGCTGACCTTCCCTCCACTATTGTCCTATGACCCTGCCAAATCCCCCTCTGCGAGAAACACCCAAGAATGATCAATAAAAAAAAATAAAAAAATAAAAATAAAAAAAAAAGAACTGAATAAACATACCACATTTAAATTAAAAAAAAAAAAAAAGAAAACAGCCAATGCCAAAGAGAAAGATAGAACGAAAATGCCCTATTCCATGGAACAATTAAAAAAAAATTAACAACTACTTATTCCAATCACTAAAAGTGGATGACCAGACGTTATGGACCTCCTGATATGATGCAACAGGAAGGACCATTAGGAAGTGTTCCTGAAAAAAAAAGTTTTAAGAATAAGTCAACCACCACTAGGAAACAATTAACCAAATTCAGAATATGGGAAATTCTATATAACAAATGAACTACTTTAGTCAATAAACAAATGGCATTTAAAAAAAGAAAGGGGTCTTTCTTTAAAAATTAAAAGATACTTTAAAAAACTGAAACAAGACCAAAAATATGCAATGTATAGACTCTGTGTGGATACTGATTTAAGCGAATTAACAATAAAAATTTTTAAGCACCTGGCAAACTTTGAACGTGGAGTAGACATAAGATATTAAGAAACATTGTTAGGTATGATAATGACATTGTAGTTTATGTTTAAAGTCATTGAGATTTATAATAAAGTATCCAGGGATGAAATAAAAAAAAAAAAAAAACAATGAATACACAGAAACTGAAATTAAAAGCATAATGTCATTTACAACTACTTCGAAGATAATGAAACACTTAGGTATATATTAAACAAAACATGTACAGAATCTGTATATGAAAAATTACAAAATCCTGATGAAAGACATCAAAGAAAATCTAAATAAACAGAGATGCTGTGTTCATGTATTAGAAAATTCGGCATCTTAAAGGTATTCATTCTCCCTGCATTGTTCTACAGGTTTAATGCAATTTCCATTGAAATCCCAGCAAGGTTTTAGTGGACATAGACAAGCTTATTCTAAAATTTATTTGAAAAGGCACAGATTCTAAAATAGCTAAAAGTCTTCTAAAGAAGAATAGAGTGGGCCGGGCGCGGTGGCTCACACCTGTAATCCCAGCACTTTGGGAGGCCGAGGCAGGCGGATCATGAGGTCAGGAGATTGAGACCATCCTGGCTAACATAAAAATACTAAAAACCCGTCTCTACTACAAATACAAAAAATTAGCTAGGCATGGTGGGACCTGTAGTCCCAGCTACTTGGGAGGCTGAGGCAGGTGAATGGCCTGAACGCAGGAGGTGGAGCTTGCGGTGAGCTGAGATTGTGCCAGTGCACTCCAGCCTCTGTCTCAAAAAAAAAAAAAAAAAAAGAATAGAGTGGGAGAGATTACTCTATTCAATATTATTGTTATAGTAATCAGGATAACGTGGTATGGGTGAGGAGATAGACACACAGATCAATGGAACAGAAAAGAGAATCTAGAAATAGACCCACAAAAATATACTCAACTTACTTGTGACAAAGGTGCCGAAGCAATTCAGGGAAGAAAAGACATGCATTGGCAAAATATTGAGCCTCAACCTAAACTTCATCATATACAAAATATAAAGTCTATACAGAAATAAACTCTAAACTTATGGAGGTGAGTTTGGGTTTTTTTTTTTTTTTTTTTTTTAAGATGGAGTTTCGCTCTTCTTGCCCAGGCTGGACTGCAATGGCGCAATCTCGGCTCACAGCAACCTCCGCCTCCCGGGTTCAAACCATTCTCCTACCTCAGCCTCCAGAGTAGCTGGGATTACAGGCATGCGCCACCATGCCCAGCTAATTTTGTATTTTTAGTAGAGACGGGGTTTCTTCATGTTGGTTAGGCTGGTCTCGAACTCCGGACCTCAGGTGATCTGCCCGCCTTGGCCTCTCAAAGTGCTGGGATTACAGGCGTGAGCTACCGCGCCCAGCCGAGTTTGGGGTTTAATGTAAAATGCAGAACTATAAGACTTTTAGAAAACAATGGAGAAAGTCTGCAGAATACAAGGCTAGGCAAAAAAAAATTGTTGGAGTTGACACCAGAAGCATGATACAGAAAATTGATACAGAAAAAATTTATGTTGGACTCCACCAAAATTGAAAGTTTTTGCTTTGTGAAAGACCTTGTTTAAAGGATAAATAGACAAGATACATACTGTCTTTGCACATAATGTATTCAAGAAAGGACTGTTGTCTATAATATATAAAAGAATTTCAAAACTCTACAGTAAAAAACAAATACGCAATCCACTTAGAAAAGGAACAAAAGACATTATTAGACATTTCATCAAAGAAGATATATAGATAGCAAATGAGCACATGAAAAGATGTTCACCATCATTAGCCATTGGGGAAATGCAAATTAAAACCACAGTGAGATATCACCAAACATCCATCATCACAACGGCTACAATTAAAAAACAGTGACAAAATATAAAGTTCATACAGACCAACACCAGTGCTGGCAAGGAGCTGGAGAAACTAGCTATCTCGTGCATTGCTGGTGGAAATGTAAAACAGTACAGCCACCCTAGAAAACAATGTAGCAGTTTCTTATAAAATTAAGCATGCAACCACCACACAACCTAGCAATTGCACTCTTAGACATTTATCCCAGAGAAATGAAAATGTGTTCACACGGAAACCTGTACATACATGTTCACAGCAGCCTTATGCATAACAGCCAAAAACTGGAATCAATCAACCCAGATGTCCTTCAACAGATGAGTGGAAAAACAAGCTGGTACATTTATAACATGGAATTCCACTGGACAATAAAAAGCAGTGAATTTGGCCGAGTGCAGTGGCTCACACCTGTAATCCCAGTTACTCAGGAGGCTGAGGCAGGACAATCGCTTGAACCTGGGAGGCAGAGGTTGCAATGAGCCGAGATCGCACCACTGCACTCCAGCCTGGACAACAGAGTCAGACTCTATCTCAGGAAAAAGAAAAAAAAAAGCTGTGAATTCGCAGTGGCTCACGCCTGTAATCCCAGCACTTTGGGAGGCCAAGATGGGAGGATTACTTGAGGCCAGGAGTTGGTTAACATAGTGTGGCCCCCATCTCTATTAAAAAAAAAAAAAAAAAAAAAGAGGCTGGGCATGGTGGCTCACACCTGTAATCCCACCACTTTGGGATGCCAAGGCGGGCAGATTACCTGAGGTCAGGAGTTCGAGACTAGCATGGCCAACATAGCAAAACCCCGTATCTACTAAAAATACAAAAGTTAGCCAGGTGTGGTGGCATGCACCTGTAATCCCAGCTACTCAGGAGGCTGAGGCAGGAGAATCACTTGAACCCGGAAGGCAGAGGTTGCAGTGAGCCACGATCATGCCACTGCACTCCAGACTGGGCAACAGAGTAAGATTCCATCTCAAAAAAAAAATAATGAAATTTTTTTTTTTTAAAAAAAAGAAGCAGTGAATTACTGATTATAGGCAACATCTTGGAAGAATCTCCAGGAAATCATGATGAATGATAAGATCCAGCGCCAAGAGGGCATATACTGCATGGTTCCATTTATATTACATTTTTGAAATGACAAAGTTTTAGAAATAGAGAAAAAATGAGTGATTGCCTGGGGTTAGGAATGGGGGAAGAACAGGAGAAGGGATCTATACTTACGGAAAGACAAGACAGGGATCATGGTTCCGATGGAATTGCTCAGGATCTTGGCTATAGTGGTATCGAAACTCCACATGTGATAAAATTGTGTATAACTAAATACACACACAGACACACAAATTAGTACATCTAAAACTGGGGAAACCAGAATAATATTGATAAATTAGATCAATGTCAATATCCAGTCTTTGATATTGTACCATAATTTTACAAATTGTTATTATAGGAGAAAAATGAGTCTTAAAAAGTCTTAAACGGTCTTAAGATCGCTTAAAAAGTCTTAAAAAGATCTTACATGAGATCTCTCCATATTATTTCTTAAAACTGCATGTGATTCTACAATTACCTGAATAAAAATTTCAATTAAAAAAATTAAACATAGGGTCAGACATGGTGGCTTATGCCTGTAATCCCAACACTTTGAGAGTCCAAGGCGGGTGGATAATCTGAGTGAGGTCAGGATTTCGAGACCAGCCTGGCCAACACAGTGAAACCCTGTCTCTACCAAAAATACAAAAATTAGCTGGGCGTGGTGGCACATACCTGTAGTTCCAGCTACTCGGGAGGCTGAGGTGGGAGAATTGCTTGAACCTGGGAGGCAGAGGTTGTAGTGAACCGAGATCATGCCACTGCGCTCCAGCCTGGGTGACAAGAGCAAAAGTCCGTCTCAAAAAAAAAAGAGAACTTATCAAACTGTGCTCTTTAATGTGTACTATTTATTGTGCCTCAATAAAGAAAAGAATAAATGGATGAGTATATGAATGAGTAAACAAATCAAGAATGGATGTATACATTTAAAAATTGACAAAGGAGGCTGGGTGCGGTGGCTCACACCTGTAATCCCAGCACTTTAGGAGTCTGAGGTGGGAGGATCACTTGAGCTCAGGAGTTTGAGACCAGCCAGGGCAACACAGGGAGACCCCATTTCTATAAAAAATACAAAAATTAGCCAGGCACGGTGATACGCACCTGTAGTCCTGTGTGGGGCAGGAGGGGTGCTCCAAGAAGGGGAACAGGCTGAGCGTCTACACCAGAGCTGGCACCAGGGCACGGATGCCTTGTCTGGAGGCCACCCACTCCCATAACACAATTCTGAGAATGCCGCAGTCCCATCCTGGCCTCTGGCCTCGTAATGTTAACGCTGGATCCTGGTCTCCTATTTTTATTCAGTCTATGTATTATGTCCTGCTGAATGAGTGGAATATGAAAATAACTTTTTATTTCCCTTAAGACGGCATATCCGGAGCTAGCTCCTATCTCAAGGAAATCCTTTGCTGGGGGAGTCTGCAGCTTAGAGGGGGAAGCGCCCTTCTGTGGAAAAGATGGGCTTGAGAGGCGGCAGGGCACTGTGGGGAGTCCCCTGGCTTTGGAGCCGGGCTGCCCAGTTGCCCAACACCAGAGTGGTCACAGTCCTCCTAACCTCTCTGGGCCTCGCAGGACAAACCCGCCTCTGTTGCACAATAAACCCAGTAATACAGGCCAAGTACCTAGCACAGTGTCTGGCTCATCACAAGCCCTTCAGACCCTCCAGATTGTGATGGGGTAGAAACCTGTGAACATCGTGAATATTCTCCCTGAGGAGGGGATATGACTAAGCAAGTTGTCGATTCTACCTCCGTTGCTGAGAGCTGACAGCATCCCAGCATCAGGTTTCTCGTTTGAGCACCTAGCTGGGGGTGTTCCGGTGCAGAGGACCTGGAGTTCAGTTTGAGACATGCAGTCTGCGATCCAGACAAGGCATTGATCGTGAGGAATGAGCTGCCGGGTTCTCCAGCAGAGGGAGAGGGGCTGGGGACCGAGGTGTCATGAGTGGAGTGATAACCGCTGTCTCTGTCCCTTCCCTAAGCTGTCTCCTTGCTGTTCTGGTGGCTCTGACCGCCCCAGTGGAAAAATTTTCTCCCTCCCAGCCAGGACCCACCAAAAGCCCTTGGGAGGCACTCAAATGTGCAACTTTTTTATAGTTCACATTTATTCTACCGGGGAAATCAGCCCTCGACCGCAGCGGTGCCCAGGCATGAATCATCATGTCCATGGTGTACAGAAAATGCAGTAAGTCAGCAGTTACGGGGTGGGGCCCCAGGGTTTTCATCCACAAAGAGATTTTTCAATTTTATTAAAATCAATACGAGTTTTATTACAGTATAAATGAAATGAGGTCCCCTTGCTTCCGGGATAACGAACCACATCGCCATGACAGCGGGGTAGGAGAACCCCTGCCTGAAAGAGACCCTCCTCGGGAAGGCGAGTGCTTTGATTCATGTGCCCAGAGTGGTGGCGACCCTGCAGGAGAGAGAAGAGCTGCAGCCAAGGAAACAGGTCTACTGGGAAATTTCCAGCAACATGCCAAGCCCCCCGCTCCGTGACTCCTTCCTGTGTTCTTGCAAATCTTTGTGAATCCTAGAAAAATCGTGACATAACAGGTGGGACAAAATTTTCCGTGGAAATCACAGGTAGAGTTGATTTCATCATTGAGGTTGGCTTGGTGCTGAGATTGTCCTTCTGTAGGAATGAAGGCAGGCACAGAGAGCAAGCTGGTGTGGAAGCATTCCGTAAACAAGTGCTGGTGGTTTTTACCTTATTCTTGTAGTTACCATCCACAGCAATGGGTGCTCAGGTCCTATAAACAGGCTCTTGGGGAAAGAATAACAAGGGCCACCATCTCTAAGTTAATGGTCAAGACCCAAAGACAGTCCCCATGGAAACCAGAACAGAGATGATCACTGAACGCCTGAGAGAAGGCGTAAGAGGAGTCCGCCCATGTGTACACACACACACTGCACACTCACATCACACACATTGCACACTCAGATATATACACTCACATTGCACACTCATGTGCACACACATTGCACACTCACATGCATGCACACATACTGCACACTCATATGCGCACACACATATTGGACACACATTGCACACTCATATGCATACACATTGCACACTCACATGTGCACACACATATTGGACACTCAGATTGCACATCATATGCATACCTACACATATTGCACACTCATGCACACACACATATTGGACACTCACATTGCACACACATGCATACCCACACATATTGCAACCTCACATGTACACACACACACACACACACACACACACACACACACACTCTTAAGCAGCTCTCTGGGCGGGTTGTGGAGGGGCCTCAGAGCCCAGTCTGGAGCCCCCGGTGCAGACATGGGGCAGGAAGGGGTGGAGTTCTTCTCCGGACAAGGCCCCAGGGCCTAGGTAGCTTGGCTTCCAGGGGTGGCCTAGCTCCCCAGGACAGCTGTGGGCAGTCTTCTGGCTCCTGCGGGAGCTTCCAGTACCCATCCCCTGGCCAGGACTTGAAGGGAACTGAGTTTGGATCAGAACCTCAGACTCCTCTAGTTTGAGCCCTGGAAGCTCGTCTCCTGGCTGTAGGGTTGTAGTCTCAGTCCTGACTGCTGAGATGTCCTGGCAGCCCTGGGAACTAGACCAAAGCTGCTTAATCGGGGTTCTGCAGTCATCATTTATCTGGAGGACAGGTTCTGCCACCTGGGGCCTGGTGCTGTAGAGGTGGCTGTCTCAAAGGCCTCAAAGCTGCTTCAAGTACTGAGGGAGAAGCTTCTGCTGGAGCTCTTGGAAAGCTACTGGGCTGGTTGTCCACATTCAGAGGGGCGTAGACATGCCCTTGTTTCATAGGGGCAGGCAGAGCCCAGACCCAGAGAATGGGGCATCCAGAGTGATCCAGGGGACACCGATTTCAGCCAGGAAAGGGACTTTGGTTGAGAAAGTGCCTGTGATGTGGATCCTACAAACCTTGGAGGATTTCCTCCCAATTTTTTTTATTTTATTTATTTAATTTTTAGACAGGGTCTCACTCTGTCCCCCAGGCTGAAGTGCAGTGGCATGATCCTGGCTCACTGCAACCTTGACCTCCCAGGCTTAAGCAATCCTGCCACCTCAGCCTCCCGAGTAGTTGAGACCACAGTGGGTTGCCACTATGCCCAGCTAATATTTTAATTTGTAGAGATGGGGTCTCGCTATGTTGTCCAGACTGGTCTCAAACTCCTGGGTTCAAGTGATCCTCCTGCCTCCGCCTCCCAAAGTGCTGGAATTACAGGTGAGAGCCACTCTGCACAGCCCCAACTTTTAAAAATGAAAACAACAATAACAGCAAGGCATCCCAAAATCCCAACCCTAACAAAGCTATTTTCATTTTTGTGTATCTAATTCTTGTCCTCGTCTACAGAGACACACATTTTTCTTCATTGGAATGATAATATGTACATGATTTTTATCTACAGGTGGGGTTTTTTGTCTACTTAACAATACATAATAAATATTTTTCATTTTTCCATGCAGTTTTGATTAAATGTAATATCTGTAAAAAAATGGAATAGTGAAGATGTTTCTCTGATTACTGAGTTTTTGTTATTGAATAAGGCTACACTGAACATCTTCAAAGGGATTTTTTCTTTCCAGAGGTAAACCAATAGGTAAATCCCAGCACTTTGGGAGGCCAAGGCAGCGGATTACCTGAGGTCAGGAGTTCAAGACCAGCCTGGCCAACATAGTGAAACCCCGTCTCTACTAAAAATACAAAAAGTAGCTGGGTGTGGTGGCACATGCCTGTAATCCCAGCTACTCGGGAGGCTGAAGCAGGAGAATTGCTTGAGCCCAGGAGACAGAGGCTGCAGTGAGCAGAGATCATGCTATTACACTCCAGCCTGGCCGACAGAGGGCCACAGGACATAAGTATTTTTTGATTCTTATTGCAGATTGCTCACTTAGAGTAACCCATTGTGCCCCCATCCATATCCCACATCCCACCCCCTAATCTTGCCGTGGTGACTTGTGACACGTGTCTGTTTGGAGGTAGGTGTTTCTGCTACTTTAGTAAGCATCAAATAGCACCTCAAGACTGCTTAATTTTAATTGCTCTGATTACTAGCAAGGCTAAACATTTTCCCAGGTGTTTGTTAACACACTGGATGCCCCTCATGTGAATAGCCTGCTTAAATGTGTTGTGGGGTGGAGGGACGGGGGAGGGATAGCATTAGGAGATATACCTAATGTAAATGGCGAGTTAATGGGTGCAGCACACCAACATGGCACATGTATACATATGTAACAAACCTGCACGTTGTGCACATGTACCCTAGAACTTAAAGTATAATAAAAAAAAGTATTGTCTACTTATCTATTGGGTCATAATACTTTCTCTCTCATACATTTTAATAAACTCTTTAAGTAACATTGCTATCAACTCTTCCTGTATCAAAGTTGGTGCAACTATCTTTTTCCATCTAGCATTTCATTACATTTTTTTTTTGACATATGGGAGTTTTTGTTTTGTTTTTGCTGTCTTCTGTCTGTTTTATCTTTTGTGGTTTCTTCTATTGCTTCAAAGCTGACACTGGTCCTTCTTCGTAGAGGTAATAAATATTCCATTTTCTGCTAACTTTTCTATTTTTAAAAATAAATTCAGCTCTTTCATCCATCTGTAGTCTATTTCAGTGGAAGGGGGAAGCTCTATTAAAATTCTTCCATACTCTCTGGTTTCACAACATCATTTATTTTAAATTATTATTTTATAAAACGTTCTAATGTCTAACAGGTTCGGCTGTGGGATTTACTCTTTTTTCTTAGACTGCCCTTTGAAATCCTCATCCGTTTGTTTTTCCTGAATCAGTTGTGTTCAGAGAAGTACTGTTGAGATTGATTTGGGGTAGGCTATGTTTGTGAATTCACCTAAGGTAGTGAGACATTTTCATAATACCAAATGTGCTCGTCTTGTCTCTCCCCACCCCCACTCTATTAGGATGTGCAACTTTCCTGATAAAGGTCAGGCGGCCGGGCGCGGTGGCTCACGCCTGTAATCCCAGCACTTTGGGAGGCCGAGGTGGGCGGATCACGAGGTCAGGAGATCGAGACCATCCTGGCTAACACGGTGAAACCCCGTCTCTACTAAAAATATAAAAAAATTTGCCAGGCGTGGTGGTGGGCCCCTGTAGTCCCAGATACTCCGGAGGCTGAGGCAGGAGAATGGCATGAACCCAGGAGGTGAAGCTTGCAGTGAGCTGAGATCGCGCCACTGCACTCCAGCCTGGGCCACAGAGCGAGACTCCGTCTCAAAAAAAAAAAAAAGTTCAGGCATATGTTTGTTCCTAAGTATGTTAGATCACTTTTTTGTGTTGTAAATGGTTTTTTTCCATTATATTTTCTAGCTAGTGTGGTGTTCAGGACTATCAATTTTTATGTATGTAGTTTGCATTTGTCCTCTCCCTTAAACTCTTTAATTTGTGAATTTGTACTGATTCTTTTGTATTCACTATCCATACAAATGTTCTCATGTTGTCCCTTTTTTCCCCCAAGTTATTTTATCTTGCCTTACTAAATTGACTGGGATGTCCAAATAAGATTAAATCGCACCACTACCTTAAATCCTTTTAGGAACTTGGTAGGGTTTAAGTTAACTTGGTTTTTGTTTGTTTGTTTGTTTTGAGAGAGTCTCACTCTTGTCACCCAGGCTGGAACGCAGTGGCGCAATTGCAGCTCACTGCAACCTCCATCTCCCGGATTCAAGTGATTCTCCTGCCTCAGCCTCCCAAGTAGCTGGGATTACAGGTGCCCATCACCATGCCTGGCTAATCTTTTTTCTTTTTTTTTGTATTTTTAGTAGAGACGGGGTTTTACCATGTTGGCCAGGCTGATCTCAAGCTCCTGACCGCAGATGATCAATCCACCTCAGCCTTCTAAAGTGCTGGGATTACAGGCGTGAGCCACGGTGCCGAGCCTTAACTTGTTAATGAATTATCAGTGTGATAACAGGCTTTCTTTTTTGTTCCTAATTTTAAAGCTACTGGTGTTTCACCAGTGCAATTTTTGCATTGAAATAGGTATGTTTTATCCTGTTGAAAAATCCTTGAATTCTTAGGTTATAATTTTTTTAATGACTGCATTTTATCGAATTATATTTGGGGTGATTATTAAGATGAGTTTAACATCCTCCATTCTGGCCTTCATTTTTTTCAACAATCCTTTGTGGATTGAATGTGGAATGAATAATGAAATTCTCCCCTAGTGACAGAGCTGGAATTGCAACCCAGGTATTCCAATTCCACCTCCCACCTTACTTGGCAAAATTAACGTTTCAGAAGGTATGTTTCCATTTTCAAAGGCGTGAACATCGCTTATTGCTGGAGGATCCGCAAACACAGGGAGATAAATGATGTGTTTTCGATAGAATTTCCTGTGTTGAACCCTTTTCAGGGCACCCAGGTTTTAATTGGAATTAGCAAAATAGGCCATACCCAAGCTTCTCCAAGAGTGACTATTAAACTTTAAAAACTTACTAAGACTGGAGGGTTCACCCGGGAGGCGGAGCTTGCAGTGAGCCGAGATCGCGCCACTGCACTCCAGCCTGGGCGACAGAGCGAGACTCCGCCTCAAAAAAAAAAAAAAAAAAAAAAAAAAAGACTGGAGGGTTCAATGACAATGATTGAAACCTCACTTTGAAAGGGGAACTAGATGATTTTGACTAATAGTTAACTGAGACCTAAGTACCTGAGCCAAAGTAAAACACTCTTTGGATATTCATTTCCAGATCCTCCCCACAGCCGCCACCGCAAAGCAGCGGAGCTCCTTCCCCGGTCCCTCCGGGCTTGCTGTCCGCTCTCCCTGCCGGCTGATCCATGCATCCTCCTCTGTGTACCCCGCAGCAGTCGGCCCCCGTCGGTGCTTTCTCTCCTGGATGCTTGCTTTCTGGGGCACTGGGGGAGACTTTTATTCTGCTCCAATTAGCCAGAACAGTTACTGCTTCTGTGGGATTCAAGCTGAAAACAGAGCCCACGCTGCACAGCACCGCGCCTCCTCCGGCAAAAGCGATGTTCAGGCGCTCTGCGAGCAGCACCCGTGGGGAGCTCAGTGACCTTCTCGCTCCCATCATCCCTTGGGCCACAGTTTCTAAAGCAGCCCCACAAACACTCACCTGATTTCGGCGTCAGACCTATGAGGCAGGTAGGGAGGGGTTCTTCCTAACATCCTCATCTTACAAATGGAAACGGAGGCACAGGGAGGGTGAGTAAACTGCCTAAAATTCACGCAGCTAGAAAGTGTAAATGCCGATAGAATTCCAAATCTGTGTCTTTTTATTTTTATGAGACAGAGTCTCCCTCTGTTACCCAGGCTGGGGTGCAGTGCTGCAATCTCGGCTCACTGCAACCTCCGCCTTCCGGGTTCAAGCGATTCTCCTGCCTCAGCCTCCTGAGTAGCTGGGATTACAGGCGCACACCACCACGCCCGGCTAATTTTTGTGTTTTTAGCAGAGACAGGGTTTCACCATATTGGTCAGGCTGGTCTCGAACTCCTCACCTCAGGTGATCCACCTGCCTAAACCTCCCAAAGTGCTGAGATTACAGGTGTGAGCCACTGCGCCCTGCCTGAAATCTGAGTCTTTCCTACCACACCACACTGTCTTCATGCAAGATAATCTGTTCTCCTTTCAAGCTTGAAATACAGAATTCAGATGTCTGCAATTGAAGGAGTTAAGTGCGCATTTGTTTAAATAACTTGAAGCTTCCAGGCATGCGGGAATTTGCATGGGCTGCTGCAGGCTGGGTGGGGGACAGGGAATCCCTTGCTGTCCCAGCTTTTTTAATTCTCACAGAGTGGATTGTTCATTCTGATCCTCTTGGTGACCCACATGCTGAGCAGAGCGGTGGGTGGGTGGGCAGAGGGGAGAGGAGAGGGGGCCACCTAGGCTTGCCTTGGCAGAGGGCTTTGGTTCTACGGGTGAAAACTTGGTTTTGGCAGCTTGTTTGCGCTACTCCTAGCGTGCTCAGGGGAAGTCAGGAGGTTTTGTGCATGTTCCAATGCCTGTGGGATGTAAGAAAAAGATTCTGGGTCCAACTCCAGCTCCAGGCACCCAAGGGCAAGCTCTGCCTGGAGGGAAAGTTGGGCTTATCTGCCAGGCCAGGTGAGGAGGGGCTGGAAAGCAGGAAAGAAGCTAGCTGAACTCATTCTGAGTCAAGAGGAAACAGACGTGAGCCACCCTGGAAGGCTGTAAGGGACGCTTTTTTTTTTTTTTTTTTTGAGACAGAATTTCACTCTTGTTGCCCAGGCTGGAGTGCAATGGCAAGATCTCGGCTCACTGCAACCTCCGCCTCCCGGGTTCAAGCGATTCTCCTGCCTCAGCCTCCCGTGTAGCTGGGACTACAGGTGCGTGCCACCACGCCCGGCTAATTTTTTGTATTTTTAGTAGAGATGGGGTTTCACCATATAGGCCAGATGGTCTCGATCTCCTGACCTCGTGATCCGCCCACCTCGGCCTCCCAAAGTGCAGGGATTACAGGCGTGAGCCATCGCTCCTGGCCTCGCGCCTTAGAAAAATCATTCTTTAATCCCACCTTTCCCTCTAGCCACCAGCCCATCTCCCTGCCTCCCCCCTCACCCCAACAATAGAACTTAAAATAGCTGTACCCTGGCAGTCCTCACTCCGTCACCTCCTACTCACCCTCTGACCCACCCTGGTCTGGCTCTGCCCCCACCTCCACTGGAACTGCATCTGTCCTTGACCATGTGTCCACTGTTGCCCACCGCTGACCTCTGCTTTGCTTGGCCAAACTTTTCTCAGACTTCTCTCTTGCCTGTGGGCCTCTAAACTCTGCTCTCCCCCAAGCCTGGGCATGCACAAGAAAGTAGAAATCACCCCGCACCAACCAACCTCTCCTGGGAATTATTGACCAGAGTGGACATTTCCCAGACCCACTGGGCATGAGCTCTTGTGTGTCCAGCTTCCCCTCGGAATATTCTGCCTCTCTCTGCTTGCTCCTGCTTTGCTCAGTGAAAGATACCCTTCTGTTTGATCATGAGGCACTTGCAGATTTCTGAGCTCAGAGTGTCCTCCCTATTGCAACAGTCTTCCTTTCTATTTGGCATCATGATCAGCAAGTCACACCCATATTTTCAAATCCAGTGGCCACTTCGGTGCACACCTAACTCCTCCTCTCAATGGCATTTAGCGCGTTTCTGTCCTACTGAAAACACTTTCCTCCTCACCTGCCATCACCCTGTCCTCTGGCCTTTCTCCTGCCACGTTCGTCTCCTTGCTTTTCCCCTTCCAAAGTTTGACTCTTTGCACCTTGTCCTGGGCCCTCTCTGCTTTCTCTCTGCAGGGGGTCCCATCCCTCCCCATTGTCTTGATGGGCATCTGTATGTTGACGGCCCTCTAAGGACGTTGTCACCCTTCTGAGCTCCCAATTCACGTACCTGAGGTCGGCCTGATGTTTCCACTTGCTTATCTAATGGACACACCCAACCCGAAAGGAACTCTTCACTTGTAACCTTAAACTGGTTATTCTCCAGGATGATGGATTCACACCTGCCTCGGCCATGCACCCCATCACAAAACCAGAAGCCTAGGAGTGCTCCTGTCATCTTGATTTTTCTCTCACATCAGTGATTCCAAAATAAGGACTTAACCTGTGTGCTTCTCTTCTTCTCGCTGTCCCCACCCACCAGAGTCTCCCACCTGGACTGTTACCATTGCCTCCTAACTGACCTTCCTACTTGCATGCCTGTCATCATCTGCCCATTTTCAACATGCCTTCCAGAAGACAAAATCTATACTTATCAGCTGAAGTTTGCATAAAATGCTCCAGTGCCTTCCACTTGCACCCAGGATTCAATCCAAAGCCCCTCCCAGGGCTGCCCAGGCTGTTTCCCCAACCTCCTTAGGGCCATCTCCTCCTGGCTCCTACCCTCCTTGGCCCACTGCTGCCCCCGGATCACACCCAGCTCCTCCCAGGACCTCAGCCCTGGCTGCTCCAGACCTTCCACTTGGTCCCTTGCCTTCTGTCAGTTCCCAAAGGTCATCTTCCCAGAGAGACCCTCCCTGACCCTGGGTAAACTGCGTCTCCCTATGCTGCTCCAGCCAGCACCCTGTTGACTCCCCTCACAATGCTAACAAGCATCTGCATTCCATTTGCATTTGTGGTTGTTTGCTTGTTTGTTCTGTCTCCCCCACTAGACATTCCAGGAAGGTGAGGCCATGCCTTGCCAGTACCTACTTAACATTCAATGAATGAATGAATGAATGAATGAATGAATGAACGAACGAACGAGTGAACTCAGGGTGGTGCTTCACCTGCTGGTTTACACGCCTGTCTCTGCCCACCCACCCTGGTAGAGTCTCTTAAGGGAGGGACCCCCTCTGACTACCTCTGTTCTTAGTGGGCCTGAAGAACAGAGGCCACCGGAGAGTGAAGTCAGGGTATTAATGAGACAGGACAAGCGGCTCCTGCAGCAGGCCTTGTCATGCATGAAGGACAACAGGGCAGGGGTCCTCATCCACAGCTTCAAGCCTCCTGGCCACGTGCAGACCCCTCTCTCAGGAGCTGGGATGGCTGCAGACCACAGCATCTCTCAGCCACCCCTGTGCCTAACGCCCATTGGCAACTGCAGCACAGGGCTTAGCAAGAGGCAGGAGTGCTGCCTTGCCTGGAGAAGCCCCCATTCTGGGCACCTGGGCACTCCAACGGGACATGCAGGCCAGAGGCCAGCTGGCGGGCCTCACTGGCCCTGGGCCACAAGGCCAGCCTTTTATAAAATGTGAGACACAGCTCTGGGCCAGCACTGGAGCCCTTCTGGCTCAGGGGACAAATCCCAGCTGTCACCCTCTGCAGAGCAGTGCCCTGGAACAAGCCTGTTGGGGAATCCCTCGCCTAGACTGCAATGGTAGCAAAACACTAGCACCCACCACATCAGCCAAGGCTCCAGGGTCATCCAAGCTGTGCAATTTAACAGACAGAAGGTGACTTTGATTGAGAACCAGCTGTGTATAGTGCCTGATCCTGTGCTGGGGGTATGGGAGTCCAGAGACAAAATAATAATAACCCCTTCTGCTTTTAAAGGACCAAAGACTCAACCTCTAGGCTATGCTTCCCCTTCACACCAAGTGGAATCGAATGAGCTCAGGATGAACGGGAGAGATGAAGCTGGGATTTGTAGAGGGCTGAAATGGACCGGAGGGTGGGTCATTGTTAAAGCTCTGCCGGGACCTATCAGGCCTCTTTATGCACAGCGCATCCTCCCCAGCTCCTTTCTCTGTGCTTTTTTCTTCAATCACCTGCACCTGTGACTCTTGAGACCCGCTCTCTGGCTACTGAAGCCACAGCCCTGCCCGCATAGGAAGAGACAGTGCCCAAAAATTTCTGGCACTTGTCAGGGCAGCCCATAGCCAATCCCTGGTGCAGGAATAAGAATGCCCAACTGTGGAGCAAGGGCAAACTGTGCGTAATTTATGTGCCAGAGATCCTCACAGGATCAGCCCAAGAAGCCGGGAGTTCACTTGGGATCTGACTCTTGCCCGGCTTCTTCCCTCCCTGTCCCACCTCCCCGACACCCAGTTAATTCTATACTGGACTTTCTTCCTTTCCATTCATTGATTTCACAACTCAGTCCAGGATCAACAATTCAGTCCTCGTGAATGCTCTCCCCAACCCTCCCAACAGGTCCCAGCCTCTCCTGGCCCACCCCACAGGAAAAGGAGAGGATCCACTGCTATGGCTGAGCAATCAGCGGTTGGTAGTAGGGGGAGGTTCCCCACCTGGACTTGGTCCCCTCTGCTGGCAGCCACTGCTGATAGAGTGGCTGTTGTCACTTGTCACCTGCTGCTGCAGCCCAGGCAGGGCACAAGACTGCTCTGAGGAGGAAGAGCCATGATTTCCTCATTGACTCAGACCCTATCTCAGTTCTTACCACCATGTCTGACTCCTCAGTAGGGTAGCCAAGCCTCATGACCACCTCTTGGTGGGGAAGCACTGTGCTGTGTCTCTCTGATCCAGCATCTCCATGCCCCAGGCCATGGGGATGCCAACAAGCCTGTGACTGTTCACTGTCAGAAACCCCAGCTCCTGAAACCCAGGGCTGCAGCAATGTTAGGAAGGAACACTTTCTGCTGCCACTCAAGAATGGGGTGGGCCCATGGGCATTTGTGCTGTCTGCTGAGCCCTTCACTGTCAGCCCTGCTGCCTCCCAGTGCCGTGGCCAAAGAGCGTCGATGAGGTGCTGTTCTTGCAAAGGACCCTTTCAACAATAAACTGGAATATGGCATCTGCACCAGGCCAATGGCTCAGAGTCACAGATTACATTTATTTCTAGAAATAGAGACAATTCCTCTGTTGGACATCTAAGCGTGTGACAACACAAGTAGTACGCATTCCGGAAGAACTTGGGGAATGATCTATTTAATGTCAATTTCCCCTACTGGACCATTAACCTCACAAGGATAGAGACACTGTCAATCCTATTCACCCCTCCATCCCTGTTATAGAGGGCAGGAGACATAGATAGCAGGATAGATATCTCTGTGATAGATAGCAGGAGTTGCCTACATGTTTACTTAATGAGTAAATGGACAACCACTGGAGGAGGGATGGGAGGGGGCTTATGCATCAAACTAGATAGGCTTGAAGGTCCCTCAAGGCTTGAAGGCCACATGATGCTCAGTCAGAGCTGGGCATCCCCTGGAGGGAGAGGCCTTGCAGAAGACACCATCTAACCC
This sequence comes from Homo sapiens, assembly GCF_000001405.40. NCBI lineage: Eukaryota > Metazoa > Chordata > Mammalia > Primates > Hominidae > Homo > Homo sapiens. The sequence goes on from NC_000017.11 coordinate 6,244,168, forward strand.
ACAGAGGTGAGGATCAGGAGCAGTGTAGACATTCTTCTGCCCTATTTTCTCCTTTTTGATTAGCAATGAAAATGTTGACCTTACTGGGCAAAACTCCTCAAGGGTCAGACCCAGAAGAAACTTTGGAGAGTTGATACTCTCACCAATTGTGCTGATGGGAGGACTGAGACCCTGAGACCAAGAGGGCAGAGACTCTTCCAAAGGCAATCAGGGTGTCAGTGACAGAGTCAGGACTAGGTCTCATGTTTCCTGCCCCCAGCCCGGCTGACGCTCCTTCCAGGATTCCATTCTCCCTGGACACATTTGCAGATGAGAGCACAGAGGTGCCAAGGTCAGGTGGGGAAGCTGCAGGCAGAGACGACTCCTGCCTCTCCAGGGGACAGCCTCAGAAGGGTTGAGTTCCAGGCTTCCTTGTCTCCCCCGAGCCCCCATCCCTGCTTTGTTCGTGCCATTAGCCATTCTAATTAATGAGCAAACATTCTTTGCAAAACAATGTTTAAACACCTTAGCATTAATTTAATCAAATATTTAATTGCCCTGTAATTAATCATCTAAGCTTAATGAATTGAGCCTCCATCTCTGGGAGTTGGGTTTGTCCCAATGACTTCTGAAAATAAGTCTGTGATGGGGCCTCTTGGAACCAGACTTCCTGCTCCCATTTGGAGCTGCTGGGTGATGGGGTCCACCCCTTCATAGCCTGTAGGAGGTCTCCTGCTCTCTGTCCCCAGCGAACAGCCTGAGATCAGCTCTCGGGGGCTGAGGAGCCAAAACACTCACTGGGAGAGGCTTGTTGGTTAAGAGTCAGAGCCTGGGGCCAAGTCTCTCCAGAGCGGGGAAGGCTGAATAAGCTGGGCAGCTGCAAGACAGGTCTCACTGTCCTAGCTGTGTGCCCTCGGGCAAATCACACCCCCTCTGCAAGTCTCAGCATCTTCCTCTGTGAAATGCCAGTCTCCCTGGGCTCTGGAGAGATTCAAAAAAGATCTCCAAAGGGGGTAAAGAGGCTTTGTAGACTGTAAAGTTCTATGCACCAGTGAGGAGGTGCTTGAACCCCCCTCTCCACTGTCTTCAGAGTCCTGGAAGCATGGAGCCCAGGAGGCAGTTTGAGAGATGACCCTGCCCAGAAGGCTCAGCCCACTGCCTGTCACAGTGCAGGCTGGCAGTGGCCCACCATCAGCAGAGCATCTGAGGAGCTGAAGGTTGACCCCTTGCCCATGCTGGGGCATGGAAAATCCCAGTCAAGCTGGCAGGAGCCTCAGAGCCCCAGCAATGGGGTCCCTGTGCACCTACTTCTTAGCCCTGCCCTTCCCCTAGGATGCTGGAAGGAAGGCCAGGGCATCCATGAGCTGCTGCAGATGCTTCCCAAGAAACCAGGACAGATGAGGTCCCCCGAGGATAGAGATCTAATAATAGCTAATACTTAGTGAGCACTTCTGATGTGCCAGGCCCTGCCCCAAGACCTTACATGAGGTCGCTCATTAAGTCCATACAATAAGCCCTGTCATTGGGTAGGGTCAGCCTAGATTGTTGTCCTCATTATTACCCACCTATCTTACAAATGAAGAAGTGGAGGATCCGAGGACTAGGCAACGTGCTCAAAGTCTCAGAGCAAGTAAGAGATGAAGCCAGCGTCTGAACTAAAGCAGTCTGGCTGCAGGAGTATGTTGTAAACCCTGTGCATCCCATCTCTTGGAGGAGATGGAGGCTCTGATGGGGCTGGAGCAGGTCAGCCATTGGCTGAAGGGCCACACGCACAGAACAGACAGATGAGCAGCACTCCTCTGACAGGGCCTCTGCCGCCTGCAGTGGGAGGATGAAGCAGCCTCTCCCAGGAGCCTGGTGGAACCACCAGATGCAGTGTCAGCCACCTTAACTCACTCACGAGCTGGCTGAGTTTCCATCTGCCTCTGAGCCAAGGAGAACATCAGAGGGCAGATTTTTTTTTTTTTTTTTGATGGAGTCTTGCTCTGTCACCCAGGCTGGAGTTCAGTGGTGTGATCTCAGCTCACTGCAACCTCTGCCTCTTGGGTTCAAGCGATGCTCCTGCCTCAGCCTCCTGAGTAGCTGGGACTACAGGCGCCCGCCACTACGCCTGGCTAATTTTTGTGTTTTTAGTAGAGACGGGGTTTCACCATGTTGGCCAGGCTGGTCTCAAACTCCTGACCTCATGATCCGCCTGCCTCAGCCTCCCAACATGCTGGGATTACGGGCGTGAGCCACCGCACTCACCCCAGAGGGCAGATTCTTAACTTCCCACTGTTGCCTTCTTCTGACCTAGACTTTGTCTTCTTCTGAAGGCACCTAGACTTTCTGGAGTGGCATCTGTTAGAAGGAAATTAGCCCATAGACAGACACAACCTCTGACCTAACATCTGAGCCTTCAGCTACACTCCAAGCAGAGGATTGATTAACTCCAGCCTGACTTAGGAGCTGCCAGGGCGCATGCTTCCCCTGGAGTTATTTATGCCACCCCATTAGCTCAGGAAAGGCAGGATTCATAGAGCCATCGTGGCCTAGGAACTCAGCAAGATTAATATAACTGGGACTGAAATACACATGAGGCCAGTGCCACCTCCATTTAATTAGGAATGAAGGGAAGGAAGGGGAGTGCCAGGGTCTGGGTTAGAGGGGACAGACCTCCTATCACATGGGTCCCGCATTTATTCCGTGCTCTCCATCCACACGGCCCGTCCCCCCATCTAGTTCACATTATCTCAGTAAGTCCTTGCCTCAGCTCCTTTCCCTGGGCTCCCAGCCTCTGGGCTCACCCAACCCTGACACCCTCTATGAAGTTTCAGGACTTGGGGCAGAGCAACAGAGGCTCATTGAGCCAATGGATGAATGCAGAGATGGAGCCACCCTTTCCTTTTTCAACAGCTCTTTGAAAACTCCTTTCTAATAAATGCCTTCACAGCAGAGCAATACGAGCCTGGTGGTGTGCTCCAACTTTGCCAGATCTCTGCATCAGCTCAGGGCACGGGATATGAGCTGCTTGTGCTGCTCCTTTCCAAGTCAAAGGTTTGCATTAGTTTGCTGGGGCTTCTGCGTCAAAGCACCACAGCGCATGGCTTAAACAACATGCATTTATCTCACAGTTCTGGAGGCTAGAAGTCTCCAGTCTAGGTGTCATCTGGGTTGGTCCCGTCTGAGGGCTATGAAGGATGGGTCTGTTCCAGGCCTCTCTCCTTAACATGTAGGTAGACACCAGTCATACCAGATTAGGGCTCACCCTAATAATCTCATTTTAACTTGATAACATTTATAAAGACCCTATCTCCAAATAAAGTCACATTCTGAGGTACTAGTGGTTAGGGTTCCAACACATATACATATATAAACACACACACACACGCACATACACACACACACATACATATATACACACACATATACATATATGTACACACACACATATACATACACATACACATACACATATATATTTGTGGCACAATAGGCTTTAAATTCCATTCTGGTTGTGTTCCTTGTCTGCATAGCTCCTTCCAGAAGCACTCGGGCAGGAGGGGTGGGTGTCAGGGCAGGATCAAGCTTCCTGTTCCCCAGCCGTAATGCATCAAAAATGGCACCACAGCCTCAACTCCCCTCCAGACAAGCCAGGAACAAGGAGCTTTGGATGCAGGAACTTTCAGCCAACTGACCTTCTGATTCTCCATGGCAAGTGTCACCTCGCACCAGCCTCCCCCTCTTTCGACCAAAAGGCTGGACTCTAAATCCTCTAGACTTTTTATTCCCACGCTGGAATTCACGAACTCATTCATTTGTTCACTTATTCAACAACGCTTTACTGAGCAAGCGCTCCATAACAGGTCCAGTGTGCTACCCCAGGACACAACAGTGAACAAGGTGTAGCCTCTGCCTTCAAGGGGCTCCCAGCCTTGCTGTGGACGCAAACAGGAAAATGGACAATTCCGACATGATAAGGCCTAAGACAGGGGGAAGCAGAAGGTGATGCTTTCAGATGCTCCAGACCAGACCCTGGAAAAACCCTAATCTTTAAACCAGGGATAAGCAAACTATGGCCTGCCTGTCTGTCTTCGTTTACAAAGACAGCCTACTTCCCGTCTTTGTAAATAAAGTTTTATTGACACAGAGCCACACCCACCCATCATTTACATTTTGACTATGGCTTCTTTTTGCATGACAAGGACAAAGATGAGTATTTGTGACAGAGATTGCATAGCCTGCAAACCTAAATTATTTACTGTCTGACCTGTTACAGAAAAGGTGTGCCTGCCCTTGATGTAAACCATGAGAACTGCAAAGCTGTAGTTGCCTCCAAGGATTTTATGTCGTGATCGTGACCAAAGATGCCCAGGGGACCATCCAGTGGGGAGATGTGAAGTATGTCCTGGCCGGGTTCTGGTCTGGTTTTTGTTGCTGGGTGAGTTTTGGTAAGCAGCTTTTTCTCTCTGAGCCTCAGTTTCCCTATCTGAAAGGGGAAACAAGTGGAGTAAGTGATTTTATAATTCCCATCAGCTGGGAGCCACTGGGTTTGGGTTTA